>NW_015495299.1:300000-535088 GCF_000001405.40 Homo sapiens
CTGGGGGTGAATGATTATCCTTAGGTTAGGAAGAAACTTTTAGGCTTAATTCCTTTGCAAGACTTTAAGATAATTAACACAGATGTATAATGTAAATATCAGGCAATATCGTGGTCTATGGGTTGTAGAATTAGACTGCCTGCTCTCAAATCCCAGTCCTTCCTGTTTCTGGCTGTGGGATCATGGACAAATTACCTGCTACCAAGAAATCTGTTTCCTTACTTGTTAAAATGGGAATAGTAATAGCACCTAACTCATGGGGTTGCTGTAATGTTCACATGGGGAAATCCTTAAAAAGTGGTTAGCTCAGTGCCTGGCACACAAAGCATGCTCGATAATTGTAGGTATTGATCATTACCTACAAGTTTTAGCTTAGGACTTTTAAAAGCAGTAGAGAATAAAGGGGAAGGCAGAGAGAGAGAGTGGGACTTCTTTGAGTTACTTCATGAGAAGGGTGAGAAGATTTTAAGTAGAGATTCAAAAACATGTTTTGTTTTGTGGACTTTGTTAAAAAAAATACTGAATCTGCATGGAGTTCACACATTATTATATGTCTGCCTTCTGAAGGCATCTGAGTTGGGGACCCCTGTGTCTAGCCCCAAAATGCCATGTTTATCACCATATCTGGTTAAGAGTGGTGAGAAAATATTATACTGTATAGTACTATATTTCTCTTACTTCTCTTTCTTTTTTTTTTTTTTTTTAGACAGGGTCTGGCTGTGTCACCTAGGCTGTAGTGTAGTGGTGTGATGTTGGCTCACTGCAGCCTTGACCTCCCAGGGCTCAAGCAATCCTCTACCTCAGCCACCCGCAGCAGCTGGGACCACAGAGGCATGTGCCACCATGCCCAACTAATTTTTTTTTTTTTTTTTTTTTGATACAGAGTCTCGCTCTGTCACCCAGGCTGGAGTGCAATGGCGCGATCTCGGTTCACTGCAACCTCTGCCTCCCGGGTTCACACTATTCTCCTGCCTCAGCCTCCTGAGTAGCTGGGATTACAGGCGCACACCACCACACCTGGCTAATTTTTTGTATTTTTTTTAGTAGAGATGGAGTTTCACTATGTTGGCCAGGCTGGTCTTGAACTTCTGACCTCGTGATTTTCCCACCTCGGCCTCCCAAAGTGCTGGGATTACAGGCATGAGCCACTGCGCCAGGCCTACTTTTTGTATTTTTTAGTAGAGATGGGGTTTTACCATGTTGCCCAGGCTGGTCTCGAACTCCTGATTTCAAGTGATCTGCCCACCTCAACCTCCCAGTGTACTAGGATTGCAAAAATGAGCTACCGGGACTGGCGTTCTCTTTAAAAAAAAAAATTTATTTATTTTTTTTTTATTTTTTATTTTATTATTTTATTTTATAAAATAAATTTTATTTGAATTTTGATTCAATTATATTTTATTATTTTTTATTTTTATTTTTATTTTTCTGTTTATTTGGTTGGACATGGTGGCTCATGTTTGAAATCCTAGCATTTTGGGAGGCTGAGGTGGGAGGATTGCTTGAGGTCAGGGCTTCAAGACCATAGTGAGAACCCTGTCTCTTAAACAACAACAACAAAACACAACAAAGCAAAACAAAAACTCCTTGTTTACCTTTGCTATAAGGATACAGTCTAGGTCTTTATCTCATGCTCTACCACTTTTTTTTTTTTCTATTTCATAAACTGAAACAAGTGGTAACTTCTTCCCAAACTTTATCTCAAGTCTTGGAAAGAATCACAATGTAACGATGTAATGTAATCAGCAATGTAATGTTTGAAAATCTTGATCATAGTAGAGAGAAATCTCCAAATTAGTACAGTTATCCTTCAGTATCCACAGGACATTGGTTTCAGGACCTCCCACACATACCAAAATCCAAGGATGCTCAAGTCCCTGATATAAAATAGTATAGTATTTGCATATAACCTATGCACATCATTCCATATACTTTAAATCCTCTTTAGAGTAGTTATAACATCTAATACAATGTAAATGCTATAAAAATAGTTGTTGTATTGTTTAGGGGATAACAATAAGAAAAAAAGCCTGGGCATGTTTAGTACAAATACAGCCATTGATTTTTTTTCTTCTGAATATTTTTCGTCTGTGAAACTCAGATATGGAGGGCCAACTGTGTTTTCTTTTTTTTTGAAACCAAGTCTTGCTCTGTCACCCAGGCTGGAATGCAATGGCACGATCTTGGCCCACTGCAACCTCCACCTCCTGGGTTCAAGTGATTCTCTTGCCTCAGCCTCCTGAGTAGCTAGGATTACAGGTATCCGCCACCATGCCCAGTTAGCTTTTGTATTTTTCATAGAGACGGGGTTTCACCATGTTGGCCAGGCTGGCCTTGAAATCCTGACCTCAGGTGATCCACCTGGCTCAGCTTTTCAAGGTGCTGGGATTACATCACACCTGGCCCCAGCTGTGTTTTCTTAAAAAGAGATTTCTGTGTATACAAGTAACTTTTTATCAGGAAGAATATGGGCACTGAATTTGGAAACCTTGATGGCACAGGACTTCTGTAACTTTACATTTGTAGGGCATGTGACTGGACAACTGTTAGAGATCTGAAATGTTTAGTTTATGTTGCAGATATGTTCATCCATATAAAGAGTCAGAACTAAAGCTTGCATCCTCTTTAGTGTCTTCTGGGCAATGTTATGTATCGTAACGTAACAAAGGACTGATTTTGGAAGCAAGCATCATAGCAGGGTACCTACCAGATTATAAAACTTCTCATAAATAGATATTACCCATGGTTTAAATATTTTTTAAAGGCTAAAAATGACTATGTCTGAGACTAGAATATTTAATCATGACCTGAATTCTCTGCAGGCCAAGATAGCCTTCCAAAATTTCCACTGGGGAACATGGTGGAAATTTGTACTCCTGTATCTCTGCTTTCTATTTCATCATTATTTGGCACTGAAGATGTTTTGGTTCTCAATCACTCATTGTCAGTGACATTGATAGAAGTCCAGGGAGAATATCCAGTTTAGGGTGGAAACTGAATTGGTGGTCAATGTATTCTTATTTTAATTTACATCAAGATACTTCCTCTCTTAAAGAAAGAGAAGGCTTTCTCCTAAAGGGGAGGGAACAGTAATCAGGGACCTTGCAGAATATATTGAGATTGCAGCCACTTCACAAAACAATACTGTTCATTATCCGGAGAGGTAATACATGAACTCAATGAAGGGGAGGGAAGGGAAACTTGTTTTTGTAGCAACAGTAATGCTGTTTCAACACAGCAGCAAAAGGAGGGGGAGGAGGACAATTCTAGAACTTCCTTTCATTCGTACAGATTATGCTTGAAAATATTTGTGCCTTTTTTTCTCCTAGGAGGAGATACAAAGGAGTATAGGATAAGATGTAGACATAAAAGATAAAGCACAGGTTAAAAGACTTGCTCGTTGACCACAACTAAACAATGTGGGTGCCAGATTCATTATTATGATGATTTAATGGTTTAAGACATTCGTTATGGGCTTTTTTTTTTTTTTTTTGGTGACAGAATATCGCTCTGTCACCCAGGCTGGAGTGCAGTGGCGTAATATGGCTCACTGCAACCTCTACCTCCCAGGTCCAAGCAGTTCTCATGCCTCAGTCTCCCAAGTAGCCACGCCCGGCTAATTTTTGTATTTTTAGTAGAGACAGGGTTTCACCATGTCGGCCAGGCTGATCTTGAACCCCTGGCCTCAAGTGATCTGTCCGCCTCAGGCTCCCAAAGTGTTGGGATTACAGGCATGAGCCACCACACTGGGCCATCATAGACTTTTTTTTTTTTTTTTTTTTTTTTTTTGAGACGGAGTCTCGCTCTATCGCCCAGGCTGAAGTGCAGTGGCACAATCTCGGCTCACTGCAAGCTCTGCCTCCCAGGTTCACGCCGTTCTCCTGCCTCAGGCTCCCAAGTAGCTGGGACTACAGGCACCAGCCACAAAGCCTGGCTAATTTTTTTTTGTATTTTTAGTAGACACGGAGTTTCACTGTGTTAGCCAAGATGGTCTCGATCTCCTGACCTCGTGATCTGCCCGCCTCAGCCTCCCAAAGTGCTGGGATTACAGGCATGAGCCACCATGCC
Source organism: Homo sapiens (assembly GCF_000001405.40). Classification (NCBI taxonomy): domain Eukaryota; kingdom Metazoa; phylum Chordata; class Mammalia; order Primates; family Hominidae; genus Homo; species Homo sapiens. The sequence goes on from NW_015495299.1 coordinate 304,069, forward strand.
CGACGCATCATAGACATTTTAAATTATTTTATGGTAATGAAAACAAAGGTAGCAACTGCAACACTATTTTCTCATGGCCAATCTATATTTGGAACAGTTTGTTGAGTTCTGCAAAATGGACATTGGAGAGACCACTGGAAAACAAAAGCAGTGCAAAAGAAAGAACTCTGCAGGGTGATGGAGGGGACTTGAAATTAGTCTTTGTTGGAATGCTTAAGGAACCAGTGAGAAAGGAGGACTTAAGGAGTTTCATGACTATCTTCAGATACTTGAAGATGCTAGGGCAGAAAATGTTGGCATAATAGTCAAGAAAATTTTGACTTAGAAGCAAGACGTTGCATCTGTTTAATATCCAGAAAGTTAAAAGTCTACCAAGAAAGCAAGCAAGCAAGCAGAATGCATTGCATTGGGTGGGCACTAAGGGAGTTTGATCACAGCCTGGATGCTGCTGGCTGGGGATACTCCAGAAGGCACTGACTCATGCACTAAGTGGACTTTTCACATCATCCTTCAAGGGCAAGACTCTATGATAATGGATATCGTTTTTGAGCTCTTATTCTCTATTTACAGATTAGGAAGCTGAAAATCAAGAAAATTAAAGAATTTATAAAAACTCTTCAGAGGCCAGGCGCAGTGGCTCACGCCTGTAATCCCAGCACTTTGGGAGGCCGAGGCAGGCAGATCACCTGAGGTTGGGAGTTCGAGACCAGCCTGACCAACATAGGGAAACTCCATCTCTACTAAAAATACAAAATTAGCTGGGAGCAGTGGCGCATGCCTGTAATCCCAGCTACTCGGGAGGCTGAGGCAGAAGAATCCCTTGAACCTGGGAGGCGGAGGTTGCAGTGAGCCGAGATCACACCATTGCAATACAGCCTGGGGAACAGGAGTGAAACTCCATCTCAAAAACAAACAAACAAACAAAACCCCAAAAACTATTCAGTGGCATGATTAGCATTCTTATCTAAATTGGTAAATGCCTATGTTCTTAACCACCAGGCATTTGGGGCACAAGAATCCTTCTTCAAAAGTGCTTAAACCAGGCCAGGCGTGGTGGCTCATGCCTGTAATCCCAGCACTTTGGGAGGCTGAGGTGGGCAGATCACTTGAGTTCAGGAGTTTGAGACCAGCCTGGCAAACGCAGTGAAACCCTATCTCTACTAAAAATACAAAAATTAGCTGAGCGTGGTGGCACACGCCTGTAATCCGAGCTACTTGGAGGTCGAGGCAGGAGAATCGCTGGAACCCTGGAGGCACAGGTTGCAGTGAGCCAAGATCATACCACTGCATTCCAGCCTAGGCGACAGTGAGACTCTGTCTCAAAAAAATAAATAAAAATAAAAATAAATAAATAAATAAATAGTGTTTAAACCAGGAGAGAGCGATGCTGAATTTAGAGAATAAATCTACATTCCTTTTCTAGAGCTGCACCTGTGGCTGAATGAAAAAACAAAACAAAACACAAAATAAACCATTCTTCCCTGCAGAGGAGGATGACTTGATAGGAGGAAGCCCAGAACGATGCATGGAAAAGAAAGCGACTTTGATTCTTTCTCAGACTCTTCCTCACCACTCCCCTCTTCTCACCTCCACCTCCAGGCCCAGTGGAGCAGCCAGTTTGTAAGAACAGTTTTTAATTTTGAGCTTTTATCATAGCTTTATTTTAGTACTACGTCAGAAGTCCACATTTGCCCAGAGTCTGCTCTGTTCCTCGGGCTGGTTCTGACTCTGTTGTTAAAGTCACTGCAGGATGACTTTACAAGAACCAAATTGCCAGATGTAAACCAACTCTCATCCAGCCTCTGGCAGCTGGATTCTGAGGAATAAATGAAGAGAGGACACTCAGGAAAAGCATATTCTTTTTTTGTTTGTTTTTTAGACCAAGTCTTGCTCTGTTGCCTTGGCTGGAGTGCAGTGGCGTGATCTCGGCGCACTGCAACCTCCACCTCCTGGGTTCAAGTGATTTCTACTGCCTCAGCCTTCCGAGTAGCTGGGACTACAGGTGCGCACCACCACGCCCAGCTAATTTTTGTATTTTTAGTAGAGACGGGGTTTCACCATATTGGCCAGGCTGGTCTCAATCTCTTGACCTCGTGATCTGCCTGCGTCGGCCTCCCAAAGTGCTGGGATTACAGGCGTGAGCCACTGCGCCCGGCCCAAATGCATATTCTTTACTGCTCCAGAGCTGGTTAAGTCCCACATGCCCTTTCAGTCTCTCTTGGTGACCTATAGGACTCCTATGTGAACCTGTAGGACTGCATTTGTCCAAGGGCCTGTCCTTTCTTCTGGGACCCAGTGTGATTGCTTCTAGGTTTTTTTCTTCTGGGTTTTCTAAGGGCAAGGGTACTTTCAAATGGTGCAAATCCAGGTGCTGGTTAACACTTCAGGCACAGGACATGGATGAGAGAGAAGAAAATTAAACAGGGAAAGAAAAATTTTAACCCAGTATCTTGCTGTAATCAAAGCCCTCCAACTAAACCCCTTTGTAGGGTTCTGGGGATTCCATTTTGTGCTCTGCCTAGCAGTGCTCTTGAATGGAATGGGGTTCATTATGGGAGCAGTGCCCTGTAGAGGTTATGACCCACTATCACATCTTGAGTTTCCCCTTTACTCTTCAGCTTCATTTAAAAAATTTCATTGTAATTATAAAATTTTTTTTGTAGAGATGGTGTCTTGCTATGTTGCCCAGGCTGGTCTAGAACTCTTGAGCTCAAGCAATCCTTCCACCTCGGCCTCCCAAAGTGCTGGGATTACAGGTGTGAGCCACCATGCTCAACCCAGTCTCACTTTCTTTTTGTAGTTTTACCCTCAAAACTGCCATCACTTTTTAATTAAAACAAATGACAGCCATTTTCTCTCAATACACTGTTGTGCACAAAGGTTTGTGATCCATCTTCGAACACCTGGACAGCTCACTCTACACATCTAGGGATTCCAGCCAGTGGAATATTTTCCATGTTGGTTTTCCCCCTTGATCCACCCAAAAGTTCAGATTGTATGATGGAGGGTTGACGTTAGGGTGAGACAGGCGAAGCTGGGTTATGGAAGAGCAGCGTAGGACCTTGTCTTTGTTTAAAAATTTGATATTTTGTTAATCATGGATTATTTTCCATTAATTTTAATTACTGAGGCTTTTGGTGCCCTGTTAAATTTTGCCTCAATTGCCTTATCCTAGTTCTGACCTGCCGTAACACTTGATCCTGTTTAAGTCCGTGGATATTTGGCAGTCCTGTGTGCTGAAAAAGCACTGGAACTTAGGAGAGATGGTTCTAAAATGTAGCTCTGAATATCACTAACTATGTAACTTTGGGTGGGTCAGTGGCCCAATTGGGACCCCAGGTGTCTCATGTGGAAAATACAGGTGACATCTAATTCTAAACTTTTATGATTCTGCCCCTGGTGTTTCCTAACTGAGAAGCTCAAAGATGGCAGCACCGTATATTCTAGCTCTTTTATTACTCTCCATGCCTCAAACTAGCACCAAATCCGGTCCCTTGCACAGAGTGGACATTCAAACAATGTCTTCCAGTAAATGGTTTTTTGCACATTGGAACAAAAATATAGATCAAGGTCCAAACCAAAAAGCCTATACAAATTAAAAACATTCTGCAAATGAAAACAAAACCTTCCCAAACAAGAATATTGTACCTCCCTCATTCCTCCCACAGAAAAGAAAAATTATTAGTGTTTCTGATTCGTGAAAGTATGGCAAAGTCTTACTGCTTTCTTTTCCCCCCAGGAAATATTCTATTCAAATATTTCAGGTTTTGAGTGAAGCAGACTTATGTAATCATCCTGCCTTTGGGGATTTCTGTCCATCTAAAGATGCTAGAACCACCCTAATGAGTCACAGTTCATAAAATGTAACATCTGTGAGGGAAGGTTATAAACATCAGCAGTGCCCAGAACAGCTGTAGAATTTTAGAAGAAATAGAATTTCCACTTCCCAACTAGTTCTTCATATTTAAGTTCACATAACTAGAATGTAGGGAGAGAGAGAGCATTTGTGCATATAGCCCAAACCCCCTTTTCTTTTCTCCTCTTTTTTCCTTGAGAGAGAGGGAGGCTGGGTGCAATGGCTCACACCTGTAATCCCAGCACTTTGGGAGGCCCAGGTGGGCAGATTACTTGAGACCAGGAGTTCGAGACCAGCCTGGCCAACATGGTGAAACCCCATCTCCACTAAAAATACAAAAAATTAGCTGGGCGTGGTGGCACATGCCTACTATAATCCCAGCTACTCGGAGGCTGAGGCAAGAGAATTGCTTGAGCCTCGGAGGTGGAGGTTGCAGTGAGCCAAGATCGCACTACTGCACTCCAGCCTGGGCAACAGAGTGAGACTGTCTCATTTAAAGAGAGAGAAAGAAGACAGAGAGAGTGAGCATGAGTGCGAGCACATGCGCAAGAAAGAATGCCGGGAGGGAAAGAGGCAAAGGAGGGAAGGGAAAAGATCCTGGTTCAATGGTAAAATACATGACCTTCAAATAGAAAACATATTTTAAGCACTCTTTTCTTTATTCTTAGCCTATTTTGTATTACGGCATTTTTTTTTTTTTCCCCCGAAATGGAGCCTCTTGCTCTGTCTCCCAGGCTGGAGTGCAGTGGCTCAATCTCAGCTCACTGCAACCTCTGCCTCCTGGGTTCAAGCAATTCTCCTGCCTCACCCTCCCAAGTAGCCAGGATTACAGGCACCCACCACCACACCTGGCTAATTTTTGTATTTTTAGTAGAGATGGGGTTTTGTCATGTTGGCCAGGCTGGTCTCAGGTGATCCACCTGCCTCGCCCTCCCAAAGTGCTGGGATTACAGGCGTGAGACACCGTGCCCGGCCCTATGACATCTTTTCCACATACCTATTCTCTAACCAGTGGTAGAAATGAGAGGGCAAGAACCACTGTAGAGACACTTCTTGACATATTGTAAATTGCTTCTGGACATGAAGAGTATATACCAATAGCTGTATAGTAAGTCATTTTAATTTACTTAATCTTTCTTTCATAGTTGATATTAATCACCCTGTCCCAGAAACAAAGGTCTTGTACTTGAGGGAAATGAAAGTGACCTTCTAAAGGCCATTAAGAATGGTGGGTCGGCCGGACGCAGTGGCTCATGCCTGTAATCCCAGCACTTTGGGAGGCTGAGGCGGGCGGATCACCTGAGGTCAGAAGTTCGAGATCAGCCTGGGCAACACAGTGAAACCCCATCTCTACTAAAAATACAAAATTAGCTGGGCCTGGTGACACATGCCTGTAATCCCAGCTGCTCGGGAGGCTGAGACAGGAGAATCACTTGAACCTGGGAGGCGGAGGATGCGGTGAGCCGAGATGGCGCCATTGCACTCCAGCCTGGGCAACAAGAGTAAATCTCCGTCTCACCAAAGAAAGAAAAAGAATGGTGGGTCATACAAAGGATGGATATAGGCACATATCTGCACTGTCTATGGTCTCAATACTTTAGACAATTCAAAAGCCAAGTACATCTCCAGGTATTCAAATTCAAGAAAACAGTCACAAAATGTCTTGACACTTATACCAGTAATACAATATACCTTCACTGAAACATAACACAAGCACTTTTCCTTTTTATTTATTTTTATAGAGATGGGATCTTGCTATGTTGCCCAGGCTGCACTAGCACTCCTGGCCCCAAGAGATCCTCCCTTTCAGCCTCTGGAGTAGCTGGGATTACAGGCATGTGCCATCGTACCTAATAGGCAGTTTATTTCTGACAAGGAACTTGGAAGGAACACAGTAAAAAACCATCTGATACAAGAAAATTTTGTTTTAAAAATTCTACTTTTAGAATAATTTCTGTATCTTTTGTTCTCATCACAGATTTTCTCTAACAAGGCAAAATCAGACAAAGCATGTTTTTTCCTTTTCTTTCTTCCTTGCGTTTTATTTTTACTGTTATTTTTTAGCGGTAGGGTCTCACTCTTTCTCCCATGTTGGAGTGTAGGGGCACAATCATAGCTAACTGCAACTTCAAACTCCTGGACTCAAGGGATCTTCCCACTGTAGCCTCCTGAGTAACTGAGATTACAGGCACCCACCACCACTCCTGGCTAATTTTTGTATTTTTTGCAGCGATGGGGTTTTACCATGTTGGCCAGTCTGATCTCAAACTTCTGACCTCAAGTAATCCTCCCAGAGTGCTGGGATTATAGGTGTGAGCCACCCTGCCTGGTCAGCATTCACTTGTTAAGCAACACCTGCCCTGAACTTTATGCCAGTTGCCATGCAAAGCAAATAATCTTCTCCAACAGGTTTTCCTAGCAGATAATGTGTCTAGGCAGAAATTGCAGGCCCTGAATTATTTCCTTAAAATGGATTTCATAATTCTACATTAAAGAGATACGTAATATTGACTAATGGCTTATTTAGTGCCTTTTCACCATGAAAAGGAAGTAAATGTAGTGTACCCCAGCGGGGTCCCACACAACCACTTTTCATATACATTTCCTTTGAACCATTCACCAAGGGCATCACAATTAGTGCCCTGTGAAGACCTGGTCTGTGATTTAAACAACCTAAATTTCTGCCCAAACACAACCTTTCTCCTTGACCTTGAGCTCCATGTGAGTCAACAACGGGATGAGACAGCTAAAAAAAAAAAAAAGTAACTTTGCCCTTGGGCTGTCTTAATAGAATTGGGGGAGTGTTTATCCAATTCTACTTGAACTGATCAGACAGCACCTAGGGGTACTGTGTTCTTTTCTGGGAATTACAGTTTAAGAGAAACAATGATAAACTGAAATATGTCCAGAGGAGAGGGAACCGGATGGAGAGAAACTATATCATGTGAGGAGCATTGAGCAAACTGGTGGAAGCTATTTATCCTGGAAAAGAAAGAGCAGGGTAACAATTTTTTCAAATGCCCAAGGGCTGGCATTTGGAAGAGGGAACTATTCAAACTGGCTTCAAAAAATTGAGGGGCGCTAATGTTAGCTCAATGTAAGGCAGAATTTCCTAAAGATTATAGTTGTTAAACATTTAAAAACTAAATTAAATGAATTATTTATTCAGCACCTACTATGTATTCTAGGCCCTGGAGAGAGAGTAGGACACAGAACTTATGGAGATTTCATTCTACTGTAAAGCTATGTCAGAGGGTGGTACATTTCTCATACTTGGAGATGTTTAATGATGCAACCTTAAAGTGAGGGGTTTTAAGCAGGAAATCAGACATTACACGTGATTGGACTTGTTGATGTCTAAAATTCAGTAAGCGCTGAAACCCTAAGGTTCTGTTAGGTTCTACTAAGTTTTTTGAAGGGATGGGGTGACATGGAGGCTATAGAGAGAAGACGGTATGAAATATATTTTTTAAAATAATCTTTAGACTGTTTGAAACGGGGTGGAGTCAGATTGGCTAAAGATCATAGGATCACAGCCTTGGTTTTGTGTGTGTTTTTTCCCTTTGTTTTTAAAAGACAGGTCTGGCTCAGTTGCCCAGACTGGAGTGCAGTGGCGCAATAATGGTTCACTGCAGTTTCAACCTCCTGGGCTCAAGCAATTCTCCTGCTTCAGCCTCTTGAGTAGCTGGGGCTGCAGGCGCGCCACCACGTTCCGCACTAACCTGGTTAAGGCTGGATGGCGTCATAGCTATTCGCCCAGGGCGCCCGCCTCATTCGGGTGGGGATGGGGGAGGTGGGTGGTGGCAGCGGCGGGGGGCTGGGTTTCAAGCCATCCAGGTCAGGCGGCCGGCTTACCTTACTACAAAAGAGGAGAACTCTGCTCCTCTCAGTGTCTCGGTACACGTGGCACTGTGGACCTCAGCTGCTGCCAGCCCCTCAAAGCCTGTCACCCCTCCATCCACTGTACCCACTCCAGCGCGTTTCCTTTCCTATTGCGGACACCTCCCAAACTCACCTTCCACCCTAGTTCTTTCTTGCTACCAGATCGACCTCCTCCCTCCTAGATAACCCTGTTTTGGCCCCCTTTGTAGGCACAAACTTGAACCTTGCTCCGTTTGAAAGAGCCCAGGCCGGGCACGGTGGCTCACACCTGTAATCCCAGCATTTGGGAGGCCGAGGCGGGCAGATCATTTGAGGTCAGGAGTTCAAGACCAGCCTGACCAACATGGTGAAACCCAGTCTCTTCTAAAACTACAAAAAAAAAAAAAAAAATTAGCCGGGCATGGTGGCGCATGCCTGTAATCCCAGCTACTCGGGAGGCTGAGGCAGGAGAACTCCTTGAATCCGGGAGGTGGAGGTTTGCAGTGAGCCAAGATCGCGCCATTGCACTCCAGCCTGGGCGAAAAGCGCGAGACTCTGTCTCAAAAAAAAAAAAAAAAAAAAAAAAAGCAGCCCAACACCGGTGTCTTGCATTCATTACAAATCGTGTCCACAGCCCGCTTCCCAGCTTCCAACTTCCACCTCCAGGGGAGGACTGGGGGCTGGAGATTGCATTAATTTCCAATGGCCAGTGGTTTAATCAATCATGACTAAGTAATGAGCCTCCGTAAAAACCAGAGCTTCCGGTCTGGTGAACACACGGAGGTCCTGGAAATGGTGGCGCGCCCAGAGGGCATGGAAGCTCCGCGCCCCTTCCCACAGACCTTGTCCCGTGCATCGCTTCCATCCGGCTCTTCCTGAGTTCTGGCCCTTGTAGTAAACCTGCAGTCTTGTAAGTACGCCATTTTCCCGAGTTCTCCGATCTGATCTAGCGAACTAATGAATGTGAGGGGCGGTCGTGGGAAGCCTCAGCCTCCCAAGTAGCTGGGACTCCAGGCATGTGCCACCATGCCCAGCTTACTTCCTGTTTTCTTATTTGTAGGTACTGCTTTGCATGTTTTTCTCAGCCCAGCATAGATACTAAATCAAATACATTGATCAAGCTTACCATATAAGTGTTTTGGTACAATCAGCTCCTGTTCCTTCATCGATGATATAGGGAACTGGGGAAGAAACCATGAGTAAACTGTTCTAGGTTTATTGTATGAATGACAAAAGATAATATATGTTAGGGCATAGCTCAGTGTCTGGATCATAGTAAGAGCTCAATAAATGTGCAATATCAGGCCGGGCGCAGTGGCTCACGCCTGTAATCCCAGCACTTTGGGAGTCCGAGGCGGGCGGATCACGAGGTCAGGAGATCGAGACCATCCTGGCTAACATGGTGAAACCCCGTCTTTACTAAAAATACAAAAAATTAGCCGGGCGTGGTGGCGGGCATCTTTGTAGTCCCAGCTACTCGGGAGGCTGAGGCAGGAGAATGGTGTGAACCCGGGAGGCGGAGCTTACAGTGAGCCGAGATCGCACCACTGCACTCCAGCCTGGGCGACAGAGCGAGACTCCATCTCAAAAAAAAAAAAAAAAAAAAAGTGCAATATCATTGTTATGACTTTACTTGATTCTTTCATTACATTGTATTATGAAATATTTCACATGACTTACATGACTTTGCTGAAACATAGCAAATTCTCGGGCTTCTAGCTAATTTAATGATCAATGGCTCTAATCAGAGAGCTCATTTGTGGTTACTGTTTTCCGTTTTTGTTTTTTGTTTTTGTTTTTGTTTTTTTTGAGACAGAGTCTCGCTCTGTCGCCCAGGCCAGAGTGCAGTGGCATGATCTCGGCTCAATGCAACCTCAACCTCCCGGGTTCAAGCAATTCCTCTGCCCTCAGCCTCCTGAGTAGCGGGGATTACAGGCATGAGCCACCGCACCCGGTTTGTGGGTACTTTTGATGGCATTTTGGATCTGGGTTTCATCCTGAGAGAAAACATCAACTGAAAGACTGCTGTGAGCCACAAAATAATGGTTTCCTGCTGTTACAGTAAAGCTACGCTGTGTTCATTCCATCCTTGACAAAGTGGCATATTCTGATCTTGTGATAATGTTCCACCAAAGGAGTTTATTTATTTTGCAGCAAAAGATTTGTGTAGATTAGTTCATTTCTTGTGATGAATATCAGTACAACATAATCAGGCTACTTGCTATGATCTCACTGACCTGCTGTAATCCAACTGGCTAAAGAAGCAATCAGTTGTTTTTCTTAGGAAGAGATACATTTTGTTTACTCTCTTAAGTTTGATGAATATATCATTTACTGATTGCTTGAGAAATAACTAAAAAGAAGTGGTCATAATGTGGGAAATTAGTAAAGAGCATCCAGTGATTCTGAGCAGATTCCACTTACCATACCTAGAAAACAGGTCTCTATTTTCAAAAATCAATCTTTTATTTATTTAAGGCTGAAAGATGTGTGCATATTCTTGTAAATGTTCAAATAACAAGTTAAAATAGCTAAACTTTTTTTTAACTTACTGCATTTTGGGAAATCTAACATATTTCTGAGGAAGTCTCGAAATACGACTTTATTTCTTTCTTTTTTGGAAACAGAGTCTGTCTCCAGGCTAGAGTGCACTAGCACAATCATAGCTCACTGCAGCCTCGAACTCCTGGGTTCAAGTGGTCCTCCCACCTCAGCCTTCCCAGTAGCTGGGACTACAGGTGCTCACCACCACACCCGGCTAATTTTTTTTTTTTTTAAATTTGGGGTAGAGACAGGGTCTTATTATGTTGCTCAGGCTGGTCTTGAACTCCTGGGCTCAAGTGATCTTCTTGCCTTGGCCTCCCAAAGTGGTGGGATTTTAGGTGTGAGGTGAAAATGCCACTTTTACACAGTGTTCGGTGTATTATTATTATTATTATTATTATTTTTGAGATGGAGTTTCGCTCTTGTTGCCCAGGCTGGAGTGCAATGGCGTGATCTCGGCTCCCCGCAACCTCCACCTCCCAGGTTCAAGCGATTCTCCTGCCTCAGCCTCCCTACTAGCTGGGATTACAGGCATATGCCACCATGCCCGGCTAATTTTGTATTTTTAGTAGAGATGGGGTTTCTCCATGTTGGTCAGGCTGGTCTCGAACTCCTGACCTCTGGTGATCTGCCCGCCTCGGCCTCCTAAAGTGCTGGGATTACAGGCATGAGCCACTGCGCCTGGCCTGTTTGGTGTATTATAATCCTTCCTACAAGACAAGCAGTTTTCAGTGTGTGCTGAAATACACCCTTCCCCATTCAACTACCAAAAACCCAAAAGGAAGATCATAGAGAAACACCATATTTATCTGTGAAATACCATTCCAGAACAAGGAGTCTCTCCCAGACAAGAAAGAAACCATTTCATTTTACCATCTAAATTTTTCCCAACTTGTTTGTTGTATGTAAAGAACTGTAATTAAGTATGCATTTGTATGTGTGTGTTAATAGGGATAAAATCATTCTAAAGGTGGATGGTTTTATTTTGAATACAGTTAATAAAATGAGAGTCACATTGGGGGACAATAACAAATGGAAAGGCCATGTTTAATGTTATCAATACAGCTGGGTGATAGAACAAATAATTTATATCAACATGGCATTTTCCATATAGTAACCAAAAATTTATTTGACTAAGCTTTTATCTCCTAAACTTGCTGGTGGTTTTGGAATTAAAGAGAAAATCGCGAGCTCTTCTAAAAGGTAAGCGGTACTTTTAGATGTTACTTCCCTAAATGAACTCTTCCCTGCCTCCAAAAACCTATGCCCTAGCCTAAATCAGGGCCCCTGCTCTAAGCTCCTCACTTAGAGCAACTGTTACTACATATGTGGAGGCTTATTTCAAGAATGTCTGTCTCCGCCACCAACCTGTGGTTTTGCTTACCTTCATACTCCCAGAGCCTAGCACAGTGCCTGGCAAACTGTAGGGCTCAATAGTATTTATTGAAGGAAAGACTATTCAGTAGGTTTTGATAAAGGCATTCACGTGCCCGGGCATCTTGGAAATAACTATTTTGTCTGAGAAGACAAACGTGAACTGGAGAAGAGAATTTGAGTTCTTGATTATCATCAAATCCATTAGTTCCTGTTTCAGTCCCCCTGCCCCTTTTTTTTTTTTTTTTTTAATCAAAAGCATTAAAAGAATGTTGAGGACGTAGAAAAGCCAGCCTCACTCCTGAGAGGTGTGTTCAATCTGTTCAGCCACTTCCTTGGACCAGCACTTCTGACTGACAACAGTTGCCATTTCTAGGAAAAGATGATGAGATTTTTCTCTAAACTGGTATGAGGAGCAAACAAGTTCACTATAAACCATTGTCACTGTCATGTGTTGCTTATAATTTTTTTTTTTTTTTTTGAGACAGAGTCTCTTGCTCTGTTGCCCAGGCTGGAGTGCAGTGGCATGATCTTGGTTCACTGCAACAGGGTTCAAGTGATTCTCCTGCCTCAGCCTCTGGAGTAGCTGGGACAACAAGCATGTGCCACCCCACTTGGCTAATTTTGTATTTTTAGTAGAGACAGGGTTTCGCCATGTTGGCCAGGCTGGTCTCGAACTCCTGACCTTAGGTGATCCACCTGCCTTGGCCTCCCAGAGTGCTGGGATTACAGGTATGAGACACCATGCCTGGCCTGTTGCTTATAATTAAAACCAGTTGACCTAATTCCACTCAAAGGAAGCAAGTACCAACCACATCTAATTATGTAAATAGCACTTAACACATATAGTAATACTCAGCATTTCCTGAGTACTTGTTAAGTATGGTACAATGCTAAGCAACTTCACATGCATTGTCACATTTAACTCTCACAAGAATCCTGGGAGGTACTGTTATTATTCCTACAAGGCTAAGAGAGCTTTGGCACTTAGCAAAAGTGGTGAAGAACAGACTAAACATCTGGGTCTGTCTGACCTCAGGGCCTTTTTTTTTTTTTTTTTTTTTTTTTTTTTTTGAGATGGAGTTTTGCCGTTGTTGCCTGGGCTAGAGTACAATGGCGTGTTCTCGGCTCACCGCAACCTCTGGCTCCTGGGTTCCAGCGATTCTTCTGCCTCAGTATCCCAAGTAGCTGAGATTACAGGCATGTGCCACCATGCTCAGCTAATTTTGTATTTTTAGTAGAGACAGTTTCTCCATGTTGGTCAGGCTGGTCTCGAACTCCTGACCTCAGGTGATCTACTCACTTCGGCCCCTCAAAGTGCTGGGATTACAGACGTAAGCCACCACACCCAGGCAGGGCCTTCCTTCTTAATACCTGCACACACAGTCTCTCTGAGTAATAATCTGTTAAGGTGCTCATCTCCCTTACTAAACTAAGAACATCAAGGGCAAGGAATAACTTTTACTCATCCTTATATCTCAGCAAGGAGCAGAGTGCTCAGTAGGTGCTCAATGAATGTCTCGTGAAAGAAGAAGGAAGTGCTTCCTCAATCAACAAAACTATGTTATGTTTAGGCTGGGTGTGGTGGCTCATGCCTGTAATCCCTGCCTTTTGGGAGGCAGAGATGGGAGGATTGCTTGAGGCCAGGAGTTTGAAACCAGCCTGGGAAACATAATGAGACCTCCGTCTCTACAAAATCGAAAAAGTAGCCAGGCATGGTGGTATATGCCTGAGAGTCCTAGCTACTCAGAAGTGGGAGGATTACTTGGGCCCAGAAGGTCGAGGTTACAGTGAACTGTGATAGTACTACTGCACTCCAGCCTGGGCAACAGAGAGAGCCATGTTTCAAAAATAAACAAACAAATGTTATGCTTACTATGGTTTTAATGTGTAGAAATACACAAAACAAATATTTATATAAAATGAGACAAATATTTACATATATAAATATATGTAACTTTTTTTTTTTTTCCAGGCAGGGTCTCACTCTGTCATTCAGGCTAGAATGCAGTGGCATGATCACATCTCATTGCAGCCTCCACCTTCCAGGCTCCAACAATCCTCCTGCCTCAGCTTCCTAAGTAACTAGGACCTCCTGCCTCAGCTCCCTAAGTAGCTGGGACTACAGGCATGCACTACCATGCCTGGCTAATTCTTAAATTTTTGGTAGAAACAAGGACTCACTACGGTGCCCAGGCTGGTCTCGAACTCTTGGGCTCAAGCAATCCTCCCATCTTGGCCACCCAAAGTGTTGGGACTACAGGTGTGGGCCATTAGGCCCAGCCTTCTATTTTTATTACATTTTGATCCATTTTTATGTCAAAGCATAAGAAACTGCCATTTTGTTAGATCAAAAATGGTCAAGGTCACAGCCAGGCTCGGTGACTCACACCTGTAATCTGAACACTTTGGGAGGCTGACGTGGTTGGATAACTTGAGGCCAGGAGTCGGAGACCAGCCTGGCCAACATGGTGAAACTCCGTTTCTACTAAAAATACAAAAATTAGCCAGGCATGGTGGTACACGCCTGTAATCCCAGCTACTCTAATGGCTGAAGTGTGAGAATCGCTTGAACCTAGGAGGTAGAGGTTGCAGTGAGCTGAGATCGCAGCCACTGCACTTCAGCCTGGGTGACAGAGTAAGACTCTGTCTCCAAAAAAAAAAAAAGCACTTTTTTGTTGTTGTTTGTTTTTTCAACTTTTATTTTAAGTTCTGGGATACAAGTGCAGGATGTACAGGTTTGTTACATAGGTAAATGTGTGTCAGGGTGGTTTGCTGCACGAATCAACCCATCACCTAGGTATTAAGCCCAGCATCCGTTAGCTATTCTTTCTGATGCTCTCTTTCCCCTAGCCCTCCCACATGCCCCCAGTGTGTTGTTACCCCCACGTGTCCATGTGTTCTCATCATTCAGTTCTTACTTATAAGTGAGAACATGCCGTGTTTGGTTTTCTTTTCTTTCTTTTTTTTTTTTTTTTTTTGAGACGGAGTCTTGCTGTGTTGCCCAGGCTGGAGTGCAGTGGCATGATCTCGGCTCACTGCAAGCTCCGCCTCCCGGGTTCACGCCATTCTCCTGCCTCAGCCTCCCGAGTAGCTGGGACTACAGGCGCCCGCCACGATGCCCGGCTAATTTTTTGTATTTTTAGTAGAGACGGAGTTTCACTGTGTTAGCCAGGATGGTCTCGATTTCCTGACCTCATGATCCACCCGCCTCGGCCTCCCAAAGTGCTGGGATTACAGGCGTGAGCCACTGCGCCCGGCCCTTTTCTTTCTTTTCTTTCTTTTTTTTTTTTTCAGAGACAGAGTCTCACTCTGTCACCCAGACTGGAGGGCAGTGGCATAATCTCGGCTCACTGCAACCTCTGCCTCCCAGGTTCAAGCAATTCTCGTGCCTCAGCCTCCCAAGTAGCTGGGACTACAGGTGTGCGCCACCATGACTGGCTAATTTTTGTATTTTTAGTAGAGACGGGGTTTCACCATGTCGGCCAGGCTCAGGTGATCTGCCTGCTCAGCCTCCCAAAGTGCTGGGATTACAGGCCTAAGCCACCATGCCTGGCCCTGTGTTTCGTTTTCTGTTCCTGTATTAGTCTGCTGAGGATAATGGCTTCCAGCTCCATCCATGTCCCTGCAAAGGACATGATCTAATTCCTTTTCATGGCTGCACAGTATTCCATGGTGTATATGAGCCACACTTTCTTTATCCAGTCTATTATTGATGGGCAGTTAGGTTGATTCCAGGTCTTTGCTATTGTGAATAGCAAATAGCATTTTTACTCTTTTTTTTTTTTTTGAGACAGAGTTTCACTCTTATTGCCCAGGCTGGAGTGCAATGGCACAATCTTGGCTTACTGCAACCTCCGCCTTCCAGGTTCAAGCGATTCTCCTGCCTCAGCTTCCCAAGTAGCTGGGGTTACAGGCATGTGCCACCACACTGGGCTAATTTTTTTGTATTGTTAGTAGAGACGGGGTTTCTCCATGTTGGTCAGGCTGGTCTCAAACTCCCGAACTCAGGTGATCAGTCTGCCTCAGCCTCCCAAAATGCTCGGATTACACGCATGAGCCACCGTGCCCGGCCTGCAAATAGCATTTTTATATGGCACAACTGAATAAAGAAAAAGCTCTGTCAACTCTCACTTATACAATTAAGTAAAATGTTTCATTGCCAGATTTTTCCACTCAATTAGAGGTTTATCATTATAAACCGTTAAAGAGAAAGTTTTGTGAAAAATTAAGGATATCATATCTATATGCTATTTTTTTCTAGGTTCAATGATTTAACGTCAATTCAACTTTGTATTTTATTATTTTTCATGCCTAGGGACAATTTGGTCCTAATGAAAATTCAAGCAGGCACATATATATTCCTGCTTGGATTCTCCACCTTTTTCAAGCTGCCAGGTTGTCTACCTCCTTTCAAACTCATTCTCCATGAAGGCTTTTCTTTTCCTTTCTTTTTCAGATTAACTCTGCCTTTATCCCATGCCTGACCCACCCACGAGTGTTCCTCAAGCACTTTCATAATGATGATAGTTTATGTGTTTATAGCGATCACTTTTGGTTGAATATTGGTCTCCACTGTATCCAGTTACGTAAAGCACTTAACATGGAGGAACTATACCCAATTCATTCAGTTATTTTTTGTTTTGTTTTGTGTTTTGAGACGGAGTCTTGCTCTGTCTCCCAGGCTAGAGTGCAGTGGCACGATCTTAGCTCACCGCAGCCTCCGCCTCCCGGGTTCAAGCAATTTTCCTGTCTTAGCCTCCCAAATAGCTGGGACTACAGGCACATGCCACCACTTCTGGCTAATTTTTGTATTTTTAGTAGAGACAGAGTCTCTACTAAAGGCTGGTCTCGAACTCCTGGCCATATCTTATCACCAGAGATGAGAAGTCTCCACACCATGCCTGAACAGTTACTGTCACTAAAACTATCATATCACCAGTCTGTTCTCCTAAGGACCCATTTATGTTTCCAAAAATCACTTGTTTTCCCGTAAGTGCCCTTCTCTTCCATTTCTCCTATTCTCCTATTAAGATGGCATATATAAAACAAAACAAAAAACAAAAAAACACACACATTAAAAAAAGAAAAAGAAAAAAAGATGGCATATAAGCCCTAAATTCTAACTACCCATCTGAGTCACTTTTTTTTTTTTTTTTTTTTAAGCTAGGGTTAGGTTCTGGTTGCCCAGGCTGGAATGCAGTGGCACAATCATAGCTCACTCAGCAACCTCTGAGTCACATTTACTTGGGAACGCCCATATCTACATACATAAAATTAAATTTTGTTTTCTCTTGCTAATCTTTCTTCTGTCAATTTCATTTGCTGGTGCCTGATAACAAATCTAAGAGGGAACAGGAGAAGTTTTTTCTCCCTGACACATCTATAATCTCACCATCAGAGTAACACATCTATTATCAGTTTTGCATATTCAATCTTTTCTACTTCATTTATTTTTTACATGATTATCATTCTGGTTAACATGATCTGTTATTAAATATTTATCTCAGGGACATGACAATTAGCAGTCAAGTAACAGAAAATGTATGACCTTTTATAAACTAAATGACTTAAATCAGATAAAATCATAAAATAGGCCATGAAAAACATAATAATCTAGTGTCTGGAAGATGTACAAATATGATGAGAATTATTCACTAAGAATAATTACTTATAACTTGAGACCCAGGAAAGGTCCCTTGGCCTTTTTTTTTTTAACAAGACAAAATTACCATCGGATTAATTTAACAACAGGTTTGTGGATTCTTGGGTGAATGAGTCTGCCTTAAGTGAAAAAGGCAATTTAAGAGCATTATTGCCAGTGAAAGTCCTGTTATCAAACTTGATTTGGTTTTCATCAGCTTTCTTTTGGAGGAAAAGATAAAAGACAATTGGTGCTCACAGTTTCTGACTAGAAAAGGAATAATTGAATAGCTGAACCCTTGTCTCCCACAGTCTTCCCTGCATTTAGCCATCTACCCCTTGTTGGGAGAGCCCAGATACCAATTATTCTAACAAGAAATTGATAGCGAGATTCAAAAAGGCAACAACAACAAACAAATGGGAAGGCCCAACAAACCACAAGCCTTTCATCGTAAAAATGGGGAGCCAGTGGCGGGGAGCTGCATTACAACTCAATTTATAACTTTTTTCCCACCTTGTAATCTAAAGAGGGCAATATCAGCTTTCATCTCGGAGTACCATTTTTTTCTACTAGTTTCTCAACAGTGAGCCTTCCACAAATGATGTTTGACTATTTCTAGATCACAACTCCTTAAAAGACAGATTTATGAGCTGTAATTATGTAGGTAAAAGCTGAGAAAATTACTGAAAGTTCTTTGTCCGCCCACCCCAGCAACATGCTCATTTTCTCTCTTGCAGTGTTTTAGGATTAATCAGCAGCTGTAGCGAACCCTGTAGGATCGTCCCTAAACACTTTTGCCAAGACCAAAAATATGAATCTGCAGACAGAGCATTTTGTAAACGATCAGGAGTCCTTTTCCTTTTTTGCCAGCTGGTAGTTAGTCAAATGCTGTTTTGTAAATAAATCATCTGCAGGAATCCTCATCAGGTCCACTGTAAATGTGTCAGTTTGAGGAAAACAAACAGGAAAGCACTTACCAGTTAAATTTCTGTGAGGAGAGAAGCTATTGTCATGCCTGGGTGTACCTTCCCGGTTCCAGAATGAAATGGAGGGTGGTGTTCAGAACGGCTGCATTCCTCATTCCACTTTTATCTGGCTTTTGAAATGACAGTGTAGAGAAGAATGATGTTGGGTTTTGAATGTGGTTCTTCCCTTCCCCCACCCCCCTCCATAAAAATTCATCATGCAATCCTGGAGAAAAGTAAGCAATGAACATACTGTACAAATTAATTCTTTCGACCAGCCTATGTTTGTGTAAGAAGTTTGTTTTTTGAATGGAAACCACTGCTACTAGCTGTTCTGCTGCAGACTGAAAATCGGTAATGGATGGGGGTCACCCAGCCCTCCTTTGTCTGGGTAGGCTTTTGCTTATGAAAAGGCAAGTTAAATTAGCAGAGATGGAATGTTCTTCGAATGCATGGTATAAGGCTCATCAGGAGATTTTACTTTCTGTGATTCAGTGTGTCCTGATAGTGAAGAGATGGAATCACATATTGGTTAAGTGTGAATTTTAACGTTTATTTATTTTTATTTATTTTTTTTGAGTCGGAGTCTCGCTCTGTCGCCCAGGCTGGAGTGCAATGGCACAATCTCGGCTCACTGCAACCTCCGCCTCCCAGGTTCAAGTGATTCTCCTGCCTCAGCCTCTGGAGTAGCTGAGACTACAGGCACCTACCACCACGCCCGGTTAATTTTTGTATTTTTAGTAGATACGGGGTTTCACCACGTTGGCCCGGCTAGTCTTGAATTCCTGACCTCAGGTGATCCACCCGCCTCAGTCTCCCAAAGTGCTGGGATTACAGGCATGAACCACCACGCCTGGCCTTAAAGACTTGATTTTTTTTTTTTTTTTTTTTTTTTTTGAGACGGAGTCTCGCTGTTGCCCAGGCTGGAGTGCAGTGGTGTGATCACGGTTCACTGCAACCTCCGCCTCCCGTGTTCAAGGAATTATCCTGCGTCAGCCTCCCAAGTAGCTGGGATTACAGGCATGCGCCACCATGCCCAGCTAATTTTTCTGTATTTTTATTAGAGACGGGGTTTCACCACATTGGCCAGGCTGGTCTCGAATTTCTGACCCACCTCGGTCTCCCAAAGTGCCCGGCCTAAAGGTTTGATTTTTATCCCTGGTCACCATTTGTGGGCCTGGCAGATGTGGGCACATCTGTGTACCTGAGGCAGGACTCAGAATTCATAAATTCAAGGGATGAGAAGCATGGAGCTTGAAGGTAGGCATGCCTTGATGTGGTGAGCTTACCTCTGACGGCTAGCTATCTTTATTTTTTTAATTTTATTTTTTATTATTATTTTTTTTTGAGACGGAGTCTCGCTCTGTTGCCCAGGATGGAGTGCAGTGGCACGATCTCGGCTCACTGCAAGCTCCGCCTTCTGGGTTAACGCCATTCTCCTGCCTTAGCCTCCCGAGTAGCTGGGACTGCAGGCGCCCGCCACCACGCCCGGCTAATTTTTTTTTGTATTTTAGTAGAGACGGGGTTTCACCATGTTAGCCAGGATGGTCTCGATCTCCTGACCTCGTGATCCGCCCGCCTCGGCCTCCCAAAGTGCTGGGATTACAGGTGTGAGCCACCACACCTGGCCGCTATCTTTATTTTTGTATGGTCTAACTTCAGCTCAACCATGTGATACCTGAAATTGCACATTGTTAGGCCATGAAAGGTCAGCTGCCAGAGAAGCACAGGATTTTGTTTTTTTCCGCTGTTAAAGACCAAGTCTAGGAAATCTAAAGCAGGAATTCTCACGGTGGAGGTCGGGGGTAGGGGGTGCACTTTTTCAAACTACAAATATCCCTCTGCCCTATAAGAATGTATAGGCTTCCACACCTACCCGCAATCCCTTGATTCAATCTTGGCATATTTTTCAGTGTTTTGTGAGACCGGATGAATAGATGTCGTCAGTGAAGGGGGTACTTAGTAGAGCTCTGCTAGTTTCCATTCCTTTGCGTTAGCAGTATTAGTATTTACTATAGTCTATACTATGTTCTGTAATCCACAAAATCACAATTTCATCTGTAAAAGCCATTATTGAGGAGAATCTCAGGAAGTTTTGGTTACTTTACATGAGTTTATTTTTGGCTATAGAGCAGGAACCATTGAGTAGCAAAGAATATGAAAAGCGACAAGAGAAATGACATTGATCAAGGATTGTCCTATGTGCCACGCATAGTTTAAGCACAGTACACACTGAAACCCAGGAAAGTGTAAGCATTTTTATGTTTTAGCCACCACCTAAAACAATTAAAACATATGCTTGCTTAGCTTTGAAATTAGTCTAAGAAACAATAAATAAAAGGAATAATAAATAAAATATCTCTGCAAATGTGCCTTATAGTTTGAGGTATGTTTGAAGAGCTTCCCTTTGACACCCTAAGGCATGACTTGCAGTTGATCTGTTATGCAAAAGTAGCTGAAGTGCTCAGGTGTACTAGAGATAAGCCACCTGCCACCTCTGAGCATTAAGGGTATAGTAGATACCAGCCAGGCTGTTTGGTGCATTGGTTAAGCTGGTGGGTCAGTTAATTGGAGATCTATTAAGAGAGCCTTTTGTGTAAGTGGCAGAGTTGGGGTTTGGCTCCAGACGTTCTGACTTCAAATACCATTATCTTAAGAAACTTAACCATTGGGCTATCCATCTCCTTATTGGAAGAGATATTTATAGAATTGAGTGTATGAGGGGAAGGGATAGCAAAACTTCTGCCAGGTAGAAGGATTTCTGGACAGTTTTGCCACTTTCTAAAAAACCATTTGCAAATTTTCTGAAGGCTGTTATGGCTAGTATTTCAAGGGGTTTCTTTTCATATTATTTTTATTTTTAAAAATAGAGACAGGAGCTGGGTGCGGTGGCTCATGCCTGTAATCCTAGCACTTTGGGAGGTGGAGGTGGGTGGATCACCTGAGGTCTGGAGTTCAAGACCAGCCTGACCAATATGGTGAAACCCTGTCTCTACTAAAAATACAAAAATTAGCCAGAAGTGGTGGCGTGCACCTGTAGTCCCCAGCTACTTGGGAGGCTGAGGCAGGAGACCTGCTTGAACCAGGAGGTGGAGGTTGCAGTGAGCCAAGATAGTGCCACTGCACTCCAGTCTGGGCGACAGAGCAAGACTCCATCTCGAAATAAAAATAGAGACAGGGTCTCACTGTATTGCGCAGGCAGGTCTTAAACTCCTGGGCTCAAGTAATCCTCCTGCCTCAGCCTCCCAAAATGCCGGGATTACAGGTATGGGCCACCATGCCTGGTCTCAACAGGTTTTTGACAGAAGAATGTGTGCAAGCAGGTCTATAGGGCCAACTGGGCTCAGAGATGGAAGATACACAATGCCGCTATCATATTATTCTGGGGACTAGGATCTCCCATTTCATACAAATAGCATTTCTCCACTAATGCTTGAACTATCACTATTAGAAAACTGTTCTTTTGAAGATATTACATTGTAAAAGAGAAGATTTATATTAATCTAATGAAGCTTTAATAGTGAGAAAGGTTTGGGCGATTTTAAGTGGGTCATCCCCTCCCCTCCCATCAACCCCATGAGAAAAATTGGGGTTGCCAACTTGGCCTTTCATCTTTTGATATCATTAAGGTTAGCATTATTCTTTCTCTTTCTTGCATGACGTTAAATAGCACATTTCTCCCAAACATCTAAAAACTCTGATGATAGAAATTTTAGAAATAGACATTTGGGAGAATATTATATCATCAAGTCATATTAATTTTTGTCAGTGATCATTCTAATCTTTTTGTTGTTGTTTGAAAAAAAAAATCTATCCGGAACAAAAGCATTGGAAGAGAGATATACAAAAGGACACTTTCTTACAAAGAAGCTGATTTATGAAAAACAAAGACACTTCAATTTTTTTCCTCCTGTCATACAGGGTGATGACTATCTTGTGTAAATGCCTTTCTTAGGGCTGGCTCTTCAGGGTAGTCACATTGGAGATTAGACTTAGGAGGCCCTTACTTGGTTAAACTGTGAGGCTGGAGACACACAAAGCTTTTTCCAGAGACTGAAATGGACTCACATGGCAGGCTCAGTAGCCCTGGGGGTCACAGCGAGGAACCATGGCAACCCAGCCATACAGGGACGTTTTCATCCACTTAAAGCAGAGAATTCTTAAAGGCTTCTAAATGAGGACGAAGCCTTGTCTAGATTCTTGCTTCTAATTCTGTTTTGCCCGATGCAGAAAGTGATTCTTGAGGATACTTAGTGGGAAAGTCTGCGGAGGACTTAGTTCTCCATCTTTTCCACTAAGATTTCCGAAGTTCTAATTACCTGTAGAAATGTGGGGAACAGCTTCTGTTTTATCTCTAATTTGAATAAACCTTCACTTTTAATATGCCAAATACGAATTCAAAAGAGATCCAGATACAAAGCATTTTTAGGTTGGTTTTCTTAACTACAATATACTGGCTCAGACACAAGGCATGCGCGGGGTGTGAAGCTTTGGGGGGCAAAGCAAGCACTCACCTCTCTGAAGTTGCCGGTGCCTGTGGCTGCTGCGGGAAAGTGCGTGGCCAAAGTTTTCAGGGCTCTGGGCTCTGTCTGAATCCTTGTGGTTTAATGATTTCTCTGGGAGGACGGGTCACAGCTGCCCTGAGTCTAGGAAGAAGTATTTCCTCTCTTTGCAACAAAGGGAAATACATAATATTTTAAGTTATTGCCCTGGAAAAGGAAATGTGGTTTGCCAGTGGTTAAGTAAATCTGTTGTACATCAGTTAGTCAACAGCATCTGGGTGACACCATTGTTGGCCCTGATTTAAGAGAAAGGGCTGCTGTGGACATTCAGGTCACTCCCAATTACCTACTCTAATTATGCTACTTTTCTCATTAAACTGCAGATAATTGTGGCTATGATGTAAGTGTATCTGGATTTTTCCAAAATGCCACATTTTAGGAAAGGAAAAGGATCAGATAAGACAGCATATTTTCTCAACCTCTTTAAACTTGTTCAGCTGCTACTTTTGCATTTTTCATTAGGAAATTGGTAGCCTGGGGGCTCACTGCAGCTGTGAATGTGTTTTGTTTGTGAAGCAGTGTTTTCTAGAGTTTGAATTAATTTCCAACATTTAGAAGTCAGAAATCTTAGCCATCTAGATTATCGGCTCCTCATGAAAAAATTAGCAGATCTGGGTACACTGGGCCCATGTCCCAACAGGGATACTGTTCGAGGTGTCTGCGTAGTGGCTTACTCCCAGCACCACCTGCCCGCTTTTGGCAGGGCATTGCATCCCAGCTCCACACCTTTCTCCTCTGTCCTCCTCACTCATGGACACTGTCTGGATCCTCCAGCAATTTACACTTTCAATTTTTGTATCTTTTTCTAATTCTTTTCCTATTGAGTTTCTTCCATTTAGGAAAATTGAATATGCAGAATAAGTCACTGGGTGCTTATTTTTACTGCATAAGGAGCTTTAGATTTGTTCATTAAAAGAAAATGAATCCCCAGTGTTTCCCTAGTAAAACCTGAATGCATTATAAAGCATTATGGAATTAACAAAACCAACCTTGCTGAGCTTAACTATGGAATGGAAGTATGACGAAAGGCCGTGTAGTAGGGAGCAGTCTACCTAGGTATAGGCAATAAAGGGACTACTGTCTGTAGGGAATTTAAAAACGATAATAAAACCAACTAAAGCCCTTCTGCTTTTTGTTGGCACCATGTGCCAGCAATTCTCAAGTCAATGATGAAATACTCCTCCCCTCAAGAGACCTCTTGTTGGTTTTGGTTTCAGTTGTGAACAATTACTGTGATTATAATGAGCTGTAGTTTTATGAATATGTATAATCTACTTTTAAATAGACAATGTATTTTACATAAAAGCTAAGTATTCTTATTTTAATTTTTGTTACTTCTCTTTAATAGACAATGTATTTTACATTGAAGATAACTGAAAAAACTCCCAATTATAAAGATGCCCCGATGCCATGTGTTGATTCAGATATGCTTTCTCTTGAGATTAAGTTGATAATGGCTCCAAAACACTGGCACAGCTTGCATTTTCCCATTGTGATCTACATGTGCCTGCATTCAAACAACAGATTTAAAATACATAATGATAGCACAACCATGGCAAAATAAAGAAGCAGAACTTGTCATTTCAACTTCTTTATTCCATATTCTCTCTTGGAATTTTTAGTTTTTTAAAATTTTAAACAGTGAAACAAAAAGTGCTTCAAGGTGTACTATTTTTTTTTCCTTTGGCAATTGTAAATTTTAGTCCATAGATGAAATTTTTGGCTGAATTTGGATATTTTTTACATTAATTTTTTTTTTTTTTTGAGACGGAGTCTCACTCTGTCACCCAGACTGGAGTGCAGTGGCACGCTCTCGGCTCACTGCAACTTCCGCCTCCCGGGTTCAAGTGATTCTCCTGCCTCAGCCTCCCCGGTAGCTGGGATTACAGGGATGCATCACCACGCCCAGCTAATTTTTGTATTTTTAGTAGAGACAGGGTCTTGCCATGTTGGCCAGGCTGGTCTTGAACTCCTGATCTCAGATGATTCACCTGCCTCGGCCTCTCAAAGTGCTAGGATTACAGGCATGAGCCATGATGCCTGGCCTAAAAGTTATTTTAAAAAAATGATCACTTTGGGAGCTGAGGCAGGAGGATCACTTGAGCCCAATAGTTCAAGACCAGACTGGACAACATAGTGAGACTGTCTCTACAAAAAAAAAAAAAAAAATTGCTGGGCATGGTGGCTTGTACCTGTAGTCCCAGCTACTTGGGAAGCTGAGGTGGGAGGATCACTTGACCCTGGGACTTTGAGACTGCAGTGAGGTGTGATTATGCCACTGCACTCCGGAGCCTGGGTGACAGAGCAAGACCTTGTCTCAAAAAAAAAAAAAAAAAAGAGGAAGGAAAAAAATTTTTTAAAGTTTTTTTAATGCTCTGTTTTAAAACTACAAACTGAATCAAGAAGTAAAGGCATTATGGCAATGACGTGATTTACTAGTTGCCTGAATTGTACCTTCTGCAGACATTTCAGTTTTATTAAAATTTAGTTATTAATTGCTGGACAATTATTTGCATAAAATATTATTATGTCATACTGTAACCAAGAGCTCTATGGTCAAATTTGTTAGATATAAAAACTGTGAGGAAATCATTGTCCATTTTTTCTTTTTTTGTACTGTGGATATATATTACTCATTTATTTTTAATTTAGTTTCCTGGCACAATTATATATTATGAGGTTCAATTAAAAAAAAATTCTGTGGTAGCTCATGCCTCAGTGTGGTGACTCACACTTGAAATCCCAGCACTTTGGGAGGCTGAGACAGGAGGATTGCTTGAGTGCAGGAGTCCAAGACCAGCCAGGGTAACATAGTGAGACCCTGTCTGTAAAAATTAGCCAGGTGTGGCAGCACATGCATGTAGTCCAAGCTACTTGGGAGGCTGAGATGTGAGACGGAGCCCAGGACATTGAGGCTGCAGTGAACCACAATCATGCCACTGTACTCCAGTCTGGGCAATAGAAGGAGACTCTAAAACAAACAAACAAACAAAAAACACCTCACCATCTGCAGTTTTTGTTTCATTTCATGATATTACTGAAATTATTCTGGTCATATTGAAAAAGAGAGTACTAAAAATTGATCTACTATAGATGCCAGCATAGATACACCACTGCAATGGTACACAGAGACATCAAAGTAATGTAGGGGAGGAAAAAGTTCCTGTGTACCCTCTTAAATTTGGAAGCTGGGGCTTGCAAACTGAACTGACAAAAGACAGATTAACAGGAGAAAAAAGATTTATTTCACGAGCACACAGAGGCTTCACAGAAAAGAATTAAAAACCCAAAGAAGCAGTTCAGAGCTTGTATACCATTTTAACAAAGGGTGATAAATTGTAGAGAAGTGACTAGACAAAGGAAAGTGAGGTGGTTTGGGCTTCTAGGGGCAGTAAATTGTGGGAAGGTGACTAGGAAATGTATAGTAGACAAGGCTTGTTAAGTAAAGTTTGTTATGCAGGATGTGAGGGCGGTCTGGTTGTGACATCTCTCACCCCATTGATTGCCAGGGTTGATTCAGCTGATCTGGATGTCTAGGCGGGTGTCCCCTTCCTCCCTCACCACTCCACGTGCATCCCTCTCGAAGTGCACACTTGGTGGAAGAGGATGACCATCCCCAATAAAGAAGGACTGGTCTTGGTCAAGGGTATAAGAGTAGCTGTGCTCCCCTTTTAGAACCTCCAAATAAGCTCCCAAGTTTGTTATGCAGACTCAATTCAGTGTCATCTCCAGTGATAAGATAGTCTGGTGGTTAAATTTGTTCTCCTCTCCTGGTACTAGAGAGAAACATATCTTTATAAATGGAAACCTGTGTTACCTGTACAAAGGGAAACTTATGCACTGGTTTTAGGCAGAAAGGAAGACAGCAAAAGTTCTTCCTGTGTCCACTATTTCTTAATTGCCTTCAGCTCAAAATATTCCTTATACCAAAGTGGTATATTTGGGGGTGGCATATTCTGATCCCCTTCACAAACTTATCAATGTATGTCCCGGTTCATTGGGTTTCTTCTGTTCTGTTGGAGCCTCTGTACTGAATTTTTAGAAACTTTTCTTTCTAAAAAAAAACTGTGGTAAAAAACACATAAATCTTACTGTCTTAACCATTTTTTAAAAGAGAGGAGGTCTTGCTATTTTGCCTAGACTGAAGTGCAGTGGTTATTCACAGGTGCTATCATAGTACATTATAGTCTCAAACTTCTGGGCTCATGTGATCCTCTTGCCTTAGCCTTCTGAGTAACTGGGAATACAGATACACACCACTGTGCCTGACTTATCTTGACCACTTTTATTTTTATTTACTTCTTCTTATTATTATTATTTTAGACAGGATCTCAGCCTGTCACCCAGGCTGGAGTGCAGTGGCATGATCATGGCTCACTGCAGCCTTGACCTCCTGGGCTTAAGTGATCCTGTCACATCAGACTCCCAAAGTGCTGGGGTTACAGTTGTAAGGCATGTGTCTGGACCTTAACCATTTTTTTTACGGGGGTGGGGATGGAGTCTCGCTCTGTCGCCCAGGCTGGAGTGCAGTGGCACAATCTCGGCTCACTGCAATCTCCACCTCCTGGGTTCAAGTGATTCTCCTGCCTCAGCCTCCTGAGTAGCTAGGACTACAGGCGCGCGCGACCTCACCCAGCTAATTTTTGTATTTTTAGTAGAGACGGGGTTTCACCATGTTGGCCAGGATGGTCTCGATCTCTTGACCTCGTGATCTGCCCACCTTGGCCTCCCGAAGTGCTGGGATTACAGGCGAGAGCCACCAAGCCTGGCCTGGACCTTAACCATTTTTAAGTGTACAGTTCAGTAATTCACTTTTATATTGTCATGAAACAGACCCCTAGAATGTTTTTACCTTGAAAATCTAAAACTTTATACCTATTAAACAACTACTTCCTTGATATTTTTTTCTTTTCTTTTTTTTTTTTAGAGATAGGGTCTCACTCTGTTGCCCAGGCTGGAATACAGTGGTGTGATTATAGCTCCTGGACTCAAGTGATCCTCCCATCTCGGCCTCCTGAGCAGCTAGGACTACAGGCTTGTCACACCACACCTCACTAATTTTTAAATTTTTTGTAGAAGCAGGGTCTTGCTATGTTGCTCTGGCTGGTCTCAAATTCTTGGCCTCAAGTGATCCTCCTGCCTCGGCCTCCCAAAGTGCTGGGATTACAGACATGAGCCACTGTGCCTGGACTACCTCCCTTTTTTTTTTTGAGATGAAGTCTCGCTCTTGTCCCCCAAGCTGGAGTGTGATGGTGCGATCTCGGCTCACTGCAACCTCCACCTGTCGGGTTCAAGCAATTCTCCCGCCCGAGTAGGTGGGATTACAGGCTCCTGCCACTACGCCTGGCTAGTTTTTGTATTTTTTAGTAGAGACAGGGTTTCACCATGTTGGCCAGGCTGGTCTCGAACTCCTGACCTTAGGTGATCCACCCGCCTCAGCCTCCCAAAGTGCTGGGATTACAGGCGTGAGCCATTGCGCCTGGCCCCCTGAATTTTCAAAAGGAGATCTCAACTGATCTTTTCAGCCATCCTGAAGAAGGGAATCAACCTCACAGTGGCAATGTAAATAGAAAGAACAGTCCAAGCAGGTCCTGACAGGACAGACTAATTTGCCTGGAGTGGCAGAGGTACAGGTGGAGTTCCTGGAAGAAGAAGGATAGAAAAGAGCCCAGACCATTGTCTTTACCATAGGCTTTGGAGATGCTTGGTATCTTTGGCATGAAACCATCCATAGAATAAGATGCTAGCAGCTTGTTTAGGCTTTACTGCATTACAGTCAGGGTCACACTGTAGCACCTGCCACTCACTCATTCAAAGGAACTTTTAAAATAGTAACTTTGGTTGAGTGCAGTGGCTCATGCCTGTAATCTTAGCACTTTGGGAGGCTGAGGCTAGCAAATTACTTGAGTCCAGGAGTTAAAGACCAGCCTGGGCAACATGGCGAAACTCCATCTCTACAAAAAATACAAATAAGTAGACAGGTGTGGTGGTGCACGGCTGTAGTCCCAGCTTCTCGGGAGGCTGAGGTGGGAGGAGTGCTTGAGTCTGGGAGGTTGAGGATGCAGTGAGTTGTATTCATGCCACTGTACTCCAGCCTGGGTAATAGAGCAATACCTTGTCTCATTAAAAAAAAGAAAAAAAAAAAAGAAAGAAAGAAAGAAAAGAAAACCCCCAAACCCCCTAAAACAAAAAACTTTTTTTCTTTTTCTTTTTTTTTTTTTTTAGACAGAGTTTTGCTCTTGTTGCCCAGGCTGGAGTGGAATGGCACGATCTCGGCTCACTGCAACCTCCGCCTCCCGGGTTCAAGCGATTTTCCTGCCTAAGCCTCCCAAGTAGCTGGGATTACAGGCGCCTGCCACCAAGCCTGGCTAATTTTTGTATTTTTAGTAGAGACGGGGTTTCGCCACATTGGCCAGGCTGGTCTCAAACTCCTGACCACAGGTGATCTGCCCACCTCGGCCTCCCAAAGTGCTAGGATTACAGGCATGAGCCACTGTGCCCATCCAAAACCTTTTTTTTTCAATTAAAACAGTTGCAGCGAGGCATGGTGGCTCACGCCTATAATCCCAGCACTTTGGGAGGCCGAGGTGGGAGAATCACTTGAGTCCAGGAGTTCAAGACCAGCCTGGGCAACACAAGGAGACCTCATTTTGAAACTGACAAAAATCATTCTCAACCCTCCCCCCGCCATTTAGAGAAACCAGTCTTGACATTTTGGCATATTTTTAATATTTAAAAAATATCTATGTGAGATTAGGTCATACATGGAGTTTTATAGCCTACCCATTTTACTTACATCATGAGCATTTTTTCGTGTCATTACATATTATTCACAAACATGCTTTTAATAGCTGCATAATATCATACTCTACAGAGTTCTTTAAGGCATTTTAAAAAGTGACAACTAAATTTATTGCCACCCTAGAACACAAAAGTTTCAGTGCTGTCAAACCTGTCTTCCAAGCAATTACTGGTTTATCTTATGCTGAAATAAAGTATTATCAAGTTGTATCCTAAAGGATAAGTACATTTTAAGAAATATTAAAGTAAAAGACAAAACCTTAGCACAGGCTGCAATTTAGGCAAAATAAAAAGAGAATCTGGTGTTATCTGTCAACAATTTAGAAAGCTTTTTCCATAAAATTAAATAATGACGTGATATGTCATTCACTGTACTTGTAGCAGCATAATTACAATAATGAGACTTATTTAATATAATGAGACTATATTTTAAAAATGTTATTCCAAGCATGCTACTTCGTGGTGCTTTGCTATTAAGCTACTTAATATTTTCCATTTAAGTTTTTATGAAATCCAGGAAGCAACGTGAGGAGAAATTTTTGTTGAATTATAAAGCATATTGAAATGGAAAAACAAAAGCCTCTCTTGCATCCTCTAGAGTCAGATAGCAACAGAGTTGGAAGCTTATAGCTTTAGCTACAGCCCACAAGCCCTCTGCAATGAATACAAATTTATAGTGCTTTAAAGCATAATAAAAAGAGCATACTTGATATTTTATTTCCTCTCCTGTCATTGTGGCTATCAAAAAGTTGCAGTTAATGTCACCTTTGGAAATTTGTCTGGAAACAAAACCAAAATTATTATGGCACCAATGCACATAAGGGTGATAAATACAAAGAGCAGGACACTCTTGGCCAGAACAGAAAATGGAAATGGCACTGAAATTACTTGCTGGTAGAAAAAGCAGAGTCAAACTGATTAAGTGCTGTTGCACTTGGAGATAAAGGGCCCAGCCCTGAGAAAGGCACTGACCACGCATTTTCGAGGAGAGGTCTTTCCTCTCTAGAATGAGACTCTTCAACTTTCAGTTTTGTGATTAGTCACTTGTTTCAGAGGGAGAGGAGAGCTCATCAAATACTGATGGCAAGATCTGGGCCATTAGAAGGACGAGTTTTTTAATCTGAGTTGCTCTTGCACTGCCTGGCTAGATGACTTTAAGCATGTTTCTGAAATTATTCAAGCCCTGGTTTTTTAATCTGGTGAATGGGGATAATGATATTACCTATATCATAGTGTTGTTGTGAGGTTTCACTGAGACGGTATGTGTAAAGCACATAAAGAATAAAGTTTCAATAAATGCTTGTGTTATTATTATTACTTGCTATGAATTGCCCTAGATACTTTCTGGTTTTACTTTCTTTCTTTCTTTTTTTGTTTTTTGAGACAGTCTCACTCTGTCACCCAGGCTGGAGTGCAGTGGCGTGATCTTGGCTCACTGCAACCTCCACCTCCCTGGTTCAAGTGATTCTCCTGCTTCAGCCTCTCAAGTAGCTGGGATTACAGGTGCATGCCACTATGCCTGGCTAATTTTGTTTTGTATTTTTAGTAGAGACAGGGTTTCACCATGTTGGCCAGGCAGGTCTTGAACTCCTGACCTCAAGTGATCCACCTGCCTCAGCCTCCCAAAATGCTGGGATTACAGGTGTGAGCCACCATGCCCAGCCTTATACTTTCTTTTGAGACAGGGTCTCACTCTGTTGCCCAGGCTGGAGTGCAGTGGCCATGATCTGCAGCCTCGACCTCCTGGACTCAAGTGATCCTCCCATCTCAGCCTCCAAAGTAACTGGGACTCTAGGCATGTGCCCCCACCATGCCCAGCTAATTTTTTTTTCCTGTAGAGTTGGGGTCTCACTATAAATAGGTGAATCCCCAAACTGGGGTCGGTCCAGTAGAGTTCTTGACTTCACACAGGAAAGAATTCAAGAGTGAGCCAACAGAATAAAGTGAAAGCAATGGAAGCTTATTACAGGAATAGAGTATAGGAAAACGGCTGCTCCATAGACAGAGCAGGGCTACCCCACAGGCAGAGAGGAGCACATACGGATTGCCGTCTAGCTAGATCTATAGCCATTCCTTAATTATATGCTACATAAGGGGTGGGTCATTCACAGATTTTCTAGAAAAGGGGTGGAGAGGTTCCAGAACCAAGAGTTCCTCCCATTTTAAACCATATAAGGTAACTTTTGGGCGTTGCCATGGCATTCGTAAACTCATGGTGCTGGTGGGAGTGTCTTAGCATGCTAATGCATTATAATTGGCTTATAATGAGCAGTAAGGGCAATTAGAAGTCCCTTTCATCACCATCTTGGTGTAGCTGGTTTTGGCCAGTTTCTTTACACCATCCTGTTTTAATCATATTCTATTTTGATCAGCAGGATCATAACGGGTGCTCAGAAAACAAGTGCTGATGATCAACAACCTCAGCTACATTGCCCAGGTTGGTTTCTAACTCCTGGGCTCAAGTGATCCTCCTGCGTTGGCCTTCCAAAGTGCTGGGATTACAGGTGTGAGCCACCATGCCCAGACTGGTTATACTTTCTATTGGTAAGGTGCTATGCCACCTCTTTACCCTGTGCCAGGGACCACAATTACCACCTAAAAATCCATTCCCTCCTTTCTTATCATCAGAACCACAGTTTTACTTAGGACAGCAGTATACTCAGACAAAACACTACAGTTCCCAGCTTCCAGTGAAACTGAGCATGGCCACTAAGATTTCGGTAGAAAACACTGGCTGGGGCTTCAAGGAAAGCTGGCTCAGATTTCGAGGTATGACTTGGAAGGTCAACAAGATTCAGTAACTCTTTTGAACTACAAGGGCAAGACAAGTATAGGGGAGAAGTTACCAAAGCTGTCTCCGTTTAGAAATTCTTGAGGCACTGAAGTAATGCTAGCAACCTTTTATTTCCAGACTTTTTGTCTCTTGAGAGATACAAGCTCTTATGTGTTTAGGTCACCATTACTTTGAGTTTGTTATGATATGTTGCCAAACCAAGCTGTGACTCACGTACATCACACCGTGTTAAATTCCTTGAAAAATAAGGACAGCTTTCATCATTCAAGGTATCATTACAATAACGTCTCATTGTGTGAGGTAATCTGGGTAACTTTGTGTTCGAAACAAATAAATGAAAAACTTAACTGACTGCAAACTCTCCCTCACAGAATTTTTGTAAAGATGGAATGAAAAGAAAACACATAAGGTTACCTGTTTAGCACATTCCCTGACACATAGTGGTTACTTGGTTCATAGTGGCTAACATTATAGGGCTACCACAAAGGGAAACAAACTAGAAAAAAATCCTGTTTATCCTTGGAGTAAAAAGCAGGGATAATCATTTTTATAGCTTAGCCGTTGGCAATCTGTATTGTTATTTTCCTAACCTCTTTTTGTCTGACAATTCATTATTCAGGAGGATTTCAGCTCAAAAATAACTGAGAAGGCAAGGCCTTAAGGAAAGGCAATGGATTTCATGAGACTGGAATTACAAAAGGAGTGCCCTTCTACTTGAAGAGAGTGCCAGATAACAATTTGTAATCTCTGGATGTTATGTCTCTGGGATATGACCGCACCCTGTACCCAACATTTGAAGGGATTATGTCACTGTTGAGTGCTGGGGTAGGATGTAGATTCAGGAAAAGGCAGCTGTGCCTGCTGCTCAGAGTATTAGTTGGGCATGGGCTGTTTGTTGCCTCTTCATTCTTCTTCATAGGTCGCACATGCAAATTCAGGTGGAGTTGGTATGTAACATGTGGTGGAAATTTGGGCTGTGATGTCGAAAGGTGTTGGGTAAGCAGGTCTATTCTGAGCTGACTCTAGTCAGCCATATTGGTTCCAGCCAGTTTCAGCCTGTCACCCAATTTTGTTGCGAAGGGAAGGGATTGTAACAAACTGTTCCCATATCTGCTGCCCTGCAAGACAAGCTGGAGAATTTGTTGTTAGTTACCAAATTCTCTAACCCTGTGGGGCACAGTTTCCAGAGGTTGGCTTACTCTTTCCTGATTCTCTACTCCTATTTGCCAGCAGTATAGTCAGTAACACAACATGGAGGAGGAAGGGACTCAGTGGCTCTTTGTGAAGTTTTTATTTTATTTTATTTTTTGAGAGAGTCTCACTCTGTTGCCTAGGCTGGAGTACAGTGGCATGATCTCGGCTCACTACAACCTCTGCCTCCCAGATTCAAGAGATTCTCCTGCCTCAGCCTCCTGAGTAGCTGGGATTACAGGCACGTACCATCATGCTCAGCTAATTTTTTTTGTATTTTTAGTGGAGACAGGGTTTCACCATGTTGGCCAGGCTGGTCTCGAACTCCTGGCCTCAAGTGATCTGCCTGCCTCGGCTTCCCAAAGTGCTGGGATCACAGGCGTGAGCCACCGCACCCGGCCTGTGTGAAGTTTTTAAATGGTAAAAACATCTGTAAGGACCTTCCCCGCAACCTGTGATGGTCAGTGTGACAAATGACTAATAATTAACTTTGAAACTTTCATATGGACATCATTCCCAGAATGGAACCTGAGTGAGGTCACTATTCACATGCCAGGGATTTTTTTTTTTTTTTTTTTTAAGACAGAATCTCACTCTTGTCGCCCAGGTTGGAGTTCAGTGGCGCAATCTCAGCTCACTGCAACTTCTGCCTCCTGGGTTCAAGTGATTCTCCTGCCTCAGCCTCCTGAGTAGCTGGGATTACAGGCGCCCACCACCACGCCCGGCTAATTTTTGTACTTTTAGTAGAGACGGGGTTTCGCCATATTGGCCAGGCTGGTCTCAAACCCCTGACCTCAGGTGATCCACCCACCTCGGTCTCCCAAAGTGCTGGGATTACAGGTGTGAGCCACGGCACTCGGCCGCCAAGGATTTTTTTAAATTACCCTAGTCTGTTTTAGCATTGTGCTATTTTTAGTTAAGCTGTGAAAGAGTGAAAAAATGGAAGAGACAGCTCCTAGACACTGTGTATCTCATCTTAAATTTATTCTCACTGGTCTTAGGAGGAAGGCTTCTCTGAAAATTGTTGACAATGTCATGAGAGTCTTGGTGCACAAACATCTTATTGTAAAGCCACAGTGTCCTAGATGATGTGTAAAACACACAAAAGGTAAGATTACTGCTTTCCCCGAATTCTGCACTGCTTATCCAAACTATGACCTAATTTAAGTGGAAGGAAACATTTTGTACAACAATCATTCATAGATATGTTTTATAGTATCGAATTGGTAACCGCATTCTAAAATTATAAATCTTTTTTTGTGACCTGTAATCCCAACACTTTGGGAGGCCAAGGCAGGCAGATCACTTGAGGTCAGGAGTTCGAGACCAGCCTGGACAACATGGTGAAACCCTGTCTCTAGTAAAAATACAAAAATTAACCAGGTGTAGTGGTGCATGCCTGTAGTCCCAGCTACTTGGGAGGCTGAGGTGGGAGGATTGCTTAATCCCAGGAGGCAGAGGTTGCAGTGAGCCGAGATTGTGCCACTGCATTCCAGCCTGGGTGACAGAGCAAGACTGTGTCTCAAAAAGAAATCTTTTTATGACAGTGAAAAACAGGCTAATTCAGCTCTACATTATATATAAGAGACACACATAAATCAAAGAGATTATGGTATATCTATACAATGGAGTCTTTTGCAGGTGACAGAGAAATAAAGAAGATCTTTGCGTACTGATATAGAGTGATCACCAAGATATATTTTAGCAAAAAAAGATGAAGGTCTAGAACTGTATTATAGTATGCTAATGTTTGATTAAGACAAAGTGTGTGAATATGTGTCTATATGTGAATATGTGTGTGTATACACATGCGCTCACACACACATCTGT
This sequence comes from Homo sapiens, assembly GCF_000001405.40. Lineage (NCBI taxonomy): Eukaryota > Metazoa > Chordata > Mammalia > Primates > Hominidae > Homo > Homo sapiens. Next base: position 339,491 of record NW_015495299.1, read on the forward strand.
ATATACTTATATTAAAATGGTTATCTATAAATAGGGTAGAATAAAAGGTGAAAAAGATAAGGATGAAAGCTGTCCCTATCTGCAATCCATTCCCTTTGCAACAAAAGGTATCTAAAAAGTAACTTGAGCTGGGCATCGTGGCTCATGCCTGTAATCCCAGCTACTTGGGAAGCTGAGGTGGGAGGATCACTTGAGCCCAGGAGTTTGAGCCTGTAATAAGCTATGACTATGCCACTGTGCTCCAGCCTGAGTGACAGAGCAAGACCTTGTCCCTACAAAAACCAAAAAACATGTATCTCAATATATAATTCTGTTTTTGTAATCATATTTTTTATTTAATTAAATGAATAAAACAGAATCAAATGAAGACAGCAGTCTTTAAAAATGAAAAACAACCTGAAACTAATGAACCTAACTGTATGTCAAGTTGGTAGCATATTCATACAGAGAAAAAAATCATTTCAAGTGACTTTAAAATACAGTATTTTTCCTGTACATCCTTATGAGATATAATTTAAGAACAAAAGAATGGCAAAGAAACTCAAAACTGCAATCAGTATTTATTGATAGTAGAAATATTGGCATTATCTGAAAATATTCTAGATATATTGAAAAGTAAAGTGAAATTAAAACTTACATAAATATAATTTAGAATGAAGATATTCAGTAATCAGTACAAGAGCAGAGAAATAATGTACAAAAATCAAGGAAGTTTATATTCATGGGTAACAAAACCCAAAAGAAATGTATAAATAAATATGAATAAAATAATTTAAAACAATTTAAAAAAAGAAAGAAAAAATATAAAAAAAGATTTAAAGAATCAAGGAGGTTAAGTTAAAACATTGTAATTTTAAATTTGAATTGGAAGTATAAGAATGAACTCAAAATTATATTTTTCTCTTAAAAATGTAATTTTAGCTCTGTTCTCCAAAACACCTAGAAGTAATAAAAAGCAAGTGACGAGCTCCAGTTGTGCCTAGATTACAGTCTCTAAATATCCATTTTCTTTACAAAGCTGCCAGAGGTCTTTGGAAAAATGATAGGAAATGTACACTACCTATATGAGGTTAGTACCTATATGAGCTGGAAAACAAAGAAGTTATAAATTAAGTCAAAATGATAAAACAGCCATCTATTTTTTTGAGATGGAGTCTCACTCTGTCACCCAGGCTGGAGTGTGGTGGCGTGATCTCGGCTCACTGCAACTTCCGCCTCCCGCGTCCAAGTGATTCTCCTGCTTCAGCCTCCTGAGAAGCTGGGACTACAGGCATGCACCACCACGCCTGGCTAATTTTTGTATTTTTGGTAGAGACAGGGTTTCACCATGTTGGCCAGGCTGGTCTTGAACTCCTGACCTCAGGTGATCCTCCTGCCTCGGCCTCTCAAAGTGCTGGGATTGCAGGTGTGAGCGACTGCACCTGGCCATAAAAGAGCCATCTTGAAGGGCCTTTCTCTGGTCTCAGAATAGACATTTTGGGCAGAAATCAAGATAAATAATGACTACAGCTCATCAAATATATTAAAAATCTATGAGTTCATAATGACACTGAAGGAAAAACTAATTGGTCACCATTTGGAGGTCATTAGGACATTATAACTCATTTACTGTCATTACCCTGAAAATAAGGAAAGAATTAAGCATTTTCCTGTGTTTCCTGTATATACTATGCCCAGGATAGCCAAACTATTAATAAAGGAAAGTTTTCGTTTACATAAAAAATCCAGCTTATAACTGTAGGTGGAAAAAAAAATGAAAGGATTAGAAAATCACCATTTTGCAACTCCTAAAAATATAATGGATCTAGGCAATCATCTTCAGTGGATGCTAAAATAAGTAGATTAAAAGTTGATGGAGGAACTTTACAAATGAAGAATTAGGCTACTACCTGAACCCAACTGATTGATCTTAACGTCACTAAATGTGGGCCAGCCAGACATTCCGTGCGTCTTGATGTGATACAATAGAAAGTGCACAGCATCACCTATGAAGTATTCTTGCCTAAAGTAAATTGAACCAAATAGAATCAAATCTCTAAATCTAACTACCATTTTGCCAGAAATGCCGGGGATGGAGGAAGAGTTAAATGACATTATGAGAAAGCAACCAGCCACATCTAAAATTTGTAACATTCTAAAGGATAAATGATTCTCCAACAAATTTATTGTACGAGAATGAAAGGAGAGATGAGGGACTAATAAAATAAAAGAGATTTAAGGGACTTTATAACCAGATAAAATGTGTAGACCTTGTTTGAAGGCTGGCTGCCTTTGAGACAATCAGGGAAATTTTAACACACACTGGGTATTAGATGAAGTAAGTAAAGGATCCCTTGTTAATTTTGTCAGGTGTGATAATGGAAAGATGATTATGTTTAAAAAAGTTTGTTAGTTAGCAATACATCCTGAAATGCTTATTAATCATATGATATCTGGGTCTTTAAAATATGCTGGTGTCCTAAAATACTAAACAAAAAGATTTAAAGAAAGGTATGGCCATCAGGCAGAAATGTTTCAGAGATGACCGGTAGAATGGGAAAAGTATTCCTTGGTTTAAGCAGTAGGTGAGTCATTGGTGACTTTACAAGAGCATCTACAGATGGGTGGTCGAGGAGCAAGGCAGACCAAATGATTTGGGGAGAGTTAGAGGAAAGGGGGTGGACAAGTGCAGTCAGTGAGAAATTACTTATTTTTTTCTTTTGAGACAGGGGTCTCACTCTATCGCCCAGGCTGCAGTGCAGTGGCACGATCTCAGCTCACTGTAACCTCCACCTCCCAGGTTTAAGCAATTCTCCTGTCTCAGCCTCCTGAGTAGCTGGGATTACAGGCATGCGCCACCACACCTGGCTAATTTTTTGCATTTTTAATAGAGACGGGGTTTCTCCATGTTGGCCAGGCTGGTCTCAAACTCCTGACATCAGGTGATCTGCCGGCCTGGGCCTCCCAAAGTGTTGGGATTACAGGTGTGAGTCATCGCGCCTGGGTGAGAAATTACTTTTAAAAGGCTGGAAAGGGCTGGGTGCGGTGGCTTACGCCTGTAATCCCAGCACTTTGGGAGACTGAAGTGGGCGGATCACCTGAGGTCAGGAATTCAAGACCAGTCTGACCAACATGGAGAAACCCCATCTCTACTAAAAATACAAAAAATTAGCCGGGTGTGGTGGCACATGCCTGTAATCCTAGCTACTCAGGAGGCTGAGGCAGGAGAATCTCTTGAACCCAGGAGGTGGAGGTTGTGGTGAGCCGAGATCGTGCCATTGCACTCCAGCCTGGGAAACAAGAGTGAAACTTCGTCTCGGGAAAAAAAAAAGGTTGGAAAGATATTAATAAAAATAATAATAGTAATAGTAACTAGAGGGGTTTGAGAAAGGTTTGTTTGCTGACCTTTTTTAATGTGAAGAGATTCTATAGAGAGGGAAGGGGGATAATGCCTGCCTTTTTTTTGAACTTTCAGAATTTGGTCTACAACACCATGTTCTCTCTTTTCCTGTGCCAGAGAGACAGGCAATATTCTCGAGAATGTCTTCTCCTTTTCCCCTGAGTCCCAGAGTGAGTAAACTTGGAGCAGAGTTTCCAGCCAAGGTATGATGGATGTGTAGGGAGAGTGAGAATAAACCTCTATTGTTTTAAGCAACTGACATTTTGGAAGTGTTTGTTATTGCAGCATAACTTAGCCCATTTGATTTAGGGATACATTTTAACATAATAAAATACAGAAGATGTCTAATGGATTCTGGAGTAGCGTTCAGTCAGACATACACTTGCAATAACACCTTACCAATGTGGCCAAGGGAGAATTTAATGCCACCAACTGTGTGTTCTCCATCTGGGTCTCATAGTAATGGTACCTACATCTGTTTTCTCTGGTAGGACCACAGAGAAGGTTTCTGTGTTTTCAGAGAAGGTTTTTTTCTTATCTTTTCACAAGAATGGAAGTTAAAAATAGATCCCCCTTTGGCAGCATCATGCTACCCAGCCCTTCCTTCCCTGCCAAAATGGGTTGCACTAGCAGAGGGTGGCCCAGTCTATGGGCCCTAAAATCAGAGCAAGAAGAGCTGGGGCTGGGGCTGGGGCTGGGGGGTGAGGCAGGTTGAGACACTTCAAACTTTAGGAAGTCTGTAGAGGACTTGGTAAGTATTCAAAGAACACTGGTAAGGAAAGTAAAATGGTTGGAAACTTTGACCCAGTCTAGGTCTGCAAACTCTGAGGACCAAGCATGGTGGGATATTGGAACTCCTTCCCCATCTTCAGGCAGGATCTGGGATTTGTTGCCTGCCTGAATCCTGGTGCATTTATTGAGGCACTGCAGTTACCCACTTAGCAGCTCTCCCTGGTTTCCCTCAGTGGAGCCCCACTGGGCAGGAATGTGATTAATCTGCCCATGGCCTAAAATCCTAGCTAATGCTTTGGTGGATCAGGCTTTGTCTTAGAAATATTTTCCAGTGGACAGAAAAACAGCTCTTTCTGGCTCACCACAGGGTCTGTCTCTAAGAGTGCTCTCAGAACTGCTGACATAGTGATATATTTCTATGAGGCAGTAATTAGCCAACTGCCCTGGGGCTGATCCCTTCTACACTTGCAGCAGGTTCACAGCAGGGATCCCTGCTGGATAACCTAAGCCCAGTTCATCTTAGGACTCAGACTTGCTTGGGCATGATCTGGAAGGCTGATGTGTCCCAGGGGGTTGGGTTTTTGAATTAAGAGCCTCATGGAAAGGAACCACATAAAGGGAAAAAAATAATTGAAGTTCACAGGTTGGTTTAAAGATAGCAAGAAGCCAAGTACTGGGGACAAGAGAGGGCAGGGTTGTGAGGGTGCTGTGATGGATGTCTGCCACTCCCATGGCCCTCTGTGTCAGCTTGCTGGGCTGCACTCTTGCGTCCTGGAGGAAGGAGAAGGAGCGGCAATAAACATCAAATAAGAATGGAAAGAGTTGCTCTGCTGGTAACCTCAGTAAGACACAAAGGGGACCAGGACACCTTACTGTGAAGCTTCATCTGAGAGCACCCTGATTTTTCAGTTTCCCGTGGCTATCCCCAGGGTCACCTCTGGCTTCTGCTCCCACTGGCCTCTTCACCCCACCCCTCAGCCGGCTTGGCTTTTCTCTTCTTCAGTTACCCACATTAGGAATTCAGGCACTTTCCCAGGATTATTTCTCTCCCCTTCTTCCTTCCTTCCCTCCCTCCCTCCCTTCCTTCCTCTCTCTCTCTCTCTCTCTTTCCTTCTTTCTTTCTTTCTCTTTCTGAGAGTCTCACTGTGTCAAACAGCTGAAGTGCAGTCGCTGGAGTGCAGTGGCACAATCTTGGCTCACTGCAACCTCTGCCTCCCTGGTTCAAGCAATTCTTCTGTCTCAGCCTGCCAAGTAGCTGGGATTACAGGCGTGCACCACCATGCCCAGCTAATTTTTGTATTTTTAGTAGAGACGGGGTTTCACCATATTGGTCAGGCTGGTCTTTTTTTTTTTTTTTTTTTTTTTGAGACCGAGTCTTGCTCTGTTGCCCAGGCCGGAGTGCAGTGGCGCGATCTCGGCTCACTGCAAGCTCCGCCTCCCGGGTTCACGCCATTCTCCTGCCTCAGCCTCCCGAACAGCTGGGACTACAGGCATGTGCCATGATGCCCGGCTAATTTTTTGTATTTTTAGTAGAGACGGGGTTTCACTGTGTTAGCCAGAATGGCCTCGATCTCCTGACCTTGTGATCCGCCTGCCTCGGCCTCCCAAAGTGCTGGGATTACAGGCATGAGCCACCGCGCCCGGCCCTGGTCAGGCTGGTCTTAAACTCCTAACCTCAGGTGATCCACCCGCCTCGGCCTCCCAAAGTGCTGGGATTATAGGCAGAAGCCACCGCACCCAGGCTTTCCTGCTTTCTTTCAAAGACCCCCTTATGGAAGGTGTTTATACATGTGGCAGATTTTATTTAATATTTAGAGTCCAGAAATGGTATCACATCACTGCACTGCTCAACCTCCCCTGGAGAGTCTATCTCACCACAAAGCAATCTGCCCTCTCTGAGGTCACCTGTCAATTTTGGTGGCTGGTTATCAGGCACACTGACTATTCCTCACTTCAGGGCCTTAAGTGCGTCACTGCTTAAGGGCATTCTGAGACACCGGGCCTGCGACAGGGGGGTTTATGCTCTAATACCAACCCAGAGCTGATGGGGAGCATATGTAGGTAGATAAATACCCCAGCTTCCCAGTCTCACAGTGGGGAGATTGTGTAGCATGTTCTACAGAGCTCTGCGGAGAGTCCCAGCACCAGCAGTGTTCTTATTAACATATGCCACTGTAGGGTGGCTATAATTAACAATAATATATTATGTCATTTCAATAGTGAGAAGGAAGATATTGAATGTTCCCAACACAAAGAAATGATAAATGTTTGAGATGATGGATATGCTAATTATCCCGATCTAATCACTCTACATATGTATTGCAACATCACTATGTACCCCATAAATATATACAATTATTATTTGTCAATTAACAAAATAAAATTTAGTTTACAAAAACACAGAAAAACAAAAATCCTTCATGGCTTCTCTCTTTTTCCTGTCTCTCACTTTACCCACCCCCTCACTTCTGTTTCCTAGCAACACCTCCCGGCAACCTGCCTACACCTAAGCCCTTCCTTAGCAGCTGCTTTTTGTAAAACCTAAACCAATACACCTACTCTCTGTATTTCAGTTGCTACTAGTTTAAATTCTCTGCCCTCTCTTAGTTTTTCAGGCCTTTGGTCTTATAGCTGAAGTCTCATGAATATCTCCGTGAAAACAACATACCATCTACTCTCTGTATCACGCAGTTTAGCAACATAGAGGAGCTGTGTCTTTGACATTTCAGTCTTCCTTTTCCTCTTGCCTCCACCGGTGTCTGTTTGCAGTAGATGGAAGCAGTGAAGAAATTTCTCTGCCCCTTGATATGAATTGTGCATGGACTATGGTCTCTTGTAAGGCAGAAATGACTGCAGTAAGCTTGCTTTTATGCAGTTTTACTTCCATCCAGTGGCAGGATATGTTTCTCCTTGGATGCAGTTGGAGCGGGTGGTGGACACAGGGATTTACGGAGTAAAAGCAGGGAGAATATCAGGTCTTGCAACATTATGGTCGCTTTAGAGGCTCTGGCACCAGATGTAAGTGCTGAGTGAGGTACATGGAAAGTGGCTTCAAGGGTACATTGGAGGCACCCAATAGAGCTAAGTGGCACCATTTGGGAGGAATTTGATGGATGGTTGGATTTCCTACAGCATAAATGAGAATGAAATCAAGGTTATCCTTTTAGGTGATGTCTATTTTGATTATTTTTAACCTCCAGGCTCATGTGGCCTGGAAATATGCATTACATCAAGTGGCTTAATTTTTTTTTTTTTTTCAGATGGAGTTTTGCTTTGTTGCCCAGGCTGGAGTGCAATGGCGTGATCTCGGCTCACTGCAACCTCCTCCTCCTGGGTTCAAGTGACTCTCCTGCCTCAGCCTCTGAGTAGCTGGGATTACAGGGGTCCACAACCATGCCCAGCTAATTTTTGTATTTTTAGTAGAGACGGGGTTTCACCATGTTGGCCAGGATGGTCTCGAACTCCTGACTTCAGCTGATCCACTTGACTTCAGGTGATCCACCCGCCTCGGCCTCCCAAAGTGCTGGGATTACAGGCATGAGCCACTGTGCCTGGCTTAAGTTGTTTAATTTAACTGAGTGAATGCGCAGTAATATGTTCATGGACAAACCAGGCACAAAGGGATGTTTTCCCATAAAGCAAACACATGATGGCAGATACTGTGTGAGGCTAGAGGTTCTGTCATATTTGAACTTGGGTGGAACCCTGTGAGAATGACACAGTGGTAAGGGCTTCTGATACCCTGAATAATGCCTAGAATTGGGAATGATTTGAACAGATGAATCTGTTAAGAAAAGTTCACTAGGAAGATTGTGTGAACCAGTTCTTTGGAAGAATGAAATTTGTAGCTGCTTTAAGATCATGCAAACGGCCAAGTGTCGTGGCTCACGCCTGTGATCCCAGCACTTTGGGAGGCTGAGGTGGGTGGATCACTTGAGCCCAGGAGTTCAAGACCAGCCTGGGCACATAGCAAAACCCCGTCTCTACAAAAAATAAAAAAATTAGCCCAGTGTTGTGACACATGCACCTCTGGTCCTAGCTACTTGGGAGGCTGATGTGGGAGGATTGCTTGAGCCAGGAGGTTGAGGCTGCAGTGAGCCGTGATCACGACACTGCACGTCAGCCTGGGCAACAGTGAGATTCTGTCTCAAAAAATAAAAAAGATGATACAAATTATTACAACCTTAGGACTCGGTGAAGCTCAATAACATTTATTGAATGTATTATTTACTTGGGTACATAAACTCCTTAAAATTGAGTGTGAACTTTTTCTGGAGAAAAGATTTGTAGTTTCATCAGATTCTCAGTGGTTGGGTTTGTGATCACCGCCCCCGCCATCCCCAAAGATTAAAAGCCATGAGTATACTTAAAAGATAAATACTCTGGGTCACATAAATCTACCAACATTTAACCTCTGTCCTGTTGCTGTACATGCGTGCATTTGTACTTTAATGGTAACAGAAACAACCCCACCACCACCACCTCCATAATGAGCCTGAGGATCGCATTGCCAAGTTGACATACATGCTTTTGTGTGTATGGAAATGGGTTTTATACTCAGATGGATATAGGTTCGAGTCCCTGTTCTGCTAGTTAATAATTATATGACGCTGATTCAGGAACTTTATCTCCTGTGTTTTATTTTCTCTCCTCTAAAATGAGAGTCCTACCTCCTATGTTGCTGTGAGGATTAGAAAGAATGTATGTGACCTCCTTAGAATTCCTTCTTTACTCTCATAACTCTGTTACAGGACTTAGGTTGCTGTGTTGATTGGGGTTCACTTTTAGAGAACAGAATCTACTCAAGCTATAGAAAAGTTGATTTTTTTTTTGAGTTGGAGTCTCGCTCTGTTGCCCAGGCTGGAGTATAGTGGCACAATCAGGGCTCACTGCAACCTCTGCCTCCTGGGTTCAAGCTGTTCTCCTGCCTCTGCCTCTGCCTCCTGAATATCTGGGGTTACAGGTGCCCACCACCATGCCTGGCTAATTTTTGTATTTTCAGTAGAGACAGGATTTCACCGTGTTGACAAGGCCGGTCTTGAACTCCTGACCTCAAATGATCCATCTGCCTCAAGCCTCTCAGAGTGCTGGGATTACAAGCGTGAACCACCATGCCCGGCCGAAAAGTAGAAATTTGAAGGGCTAAAGAAACAAGATTCTAGGCTGAGTATTCAGAAATGATTCTCAAAGCCACACTGCAGAATCAGAACACCAAGGAAGCTGCTGCATATTCTCTTGTCAGGAAGGCATTTGCTGAATGGGGAAGCTGCTGTAACAGTTGTTGGCCATGAAGTCATACCATCACTGATCCAATCAGGAAGCCGTCATGAGTAGAAACCTGTCTCCACAATGACCAGCTTTAGAATGGAGCTGTACCTGCTGTAGCCTGCTCCTTGACAGAGGAGCTAGTGCCTGAATGCTGCTAATCCTACCCTAGAGAAACCACACACCTCTGTGACCATTTTTTAAAAATTATTATTTTGAGACAGAGTCTTGCTCTTTTACTCAGGCTGGAGTTCAATGTCACAATCACAACTCACTGCAGCCTTGAACTCCAGGCTCCAACTTCAGCCTTCCAAGTAGCTGGGACTACAAGTGTGCACAACCATGCCTGGCTAACTCTTTAATTTTTTGTAGAGACAGGGCTTTGCTATGTTGCCCAGGTTGGTCTTGAACTTCTGGGTTTAAGAGATCCATCTGCCTCAGCCTCCCAAAGGGCTGGAATTATAGGGGTGAGCCACCATGCCCAGCCTCTTTGTGACCATTTTTAAAGTGTAAATGTAGAAACAACAAAAAAGGAGGGCTCTTACCTCATAATCTGATTTAAGAAACCTAAATCACACCCAGAGCCCTAGCTGCAAGGGAGTCTGAAATATGTAGAATTTTTTTTCTTTAATCTTTCATCTTCTTCAATATAAGAGAGCACACTAGAAAGAGATTAGGTAGATACTGAATGTTAATCTGCCGTGTGTATTCTAGTAATTTTTATCCAGGTATTATTAGTAGAGACAGAACTTCACCATGTTGACAAGGCTGGTCTTGAGCTCCTGACCTTAAGTGATCCATCCACCTCAAGCCTCCCAGAGTGCTGGGAAAACAGGCGTGAGCCACCATGCCTGGCTGAAAAGTAGAAATTTGAAGGGCTAAAGATTATTATTTATTATTTTGTTCAAGTAGTATTTTTATTATTATTTTTTCTGCTCTGGAAGCTTTTTATTGTTGCTCCAAGTTTAAGAATTTTCAGTGATGGTAGAAAACCAATACTTTTAGACAACCTCCCGCATAGCCCTGCTCAGCTTCTGAATCTTGGTCTTAACAGACATGTCAACATATTTCTCTCAAATGCGCACAATCATTCCACCCATGATTGACGGATCAGTCTTACCCTCCAATTTCAATACTTGGCTTTGACTTAGGAAGCTCTTCAGGACTGTTTTTAATTCAGAGAGTGTGGCTTCCTCTAAAGGAGATGCAGTGGTCCCTGTGCAAGGTACCTCTCCACGGTGGACACTCATCATGGTAGAAAAAAGAAGAAACGACTCCTTGGGTATTGCTTAAGCAACCATATTGAGCAAGCAAATTGATCAGGGTTGGAGAGAGAATGTCTCTTTGGCTGTGATGTCATTTAGGCTTTTCACTTTAATGGAACACTTCACACAGGGATTCAAAATAGAAGCAGCCACTTTGGGTTCCTTTAGGATTTGTGCTATTCTCAACAGCTCCTTTTCTACTTGCTCCAGCTTATTCTGTTTCAATGCAGCAGAATAAAGAGCTGTGGCATAGCGACCTTCCATACTGTGTACCTAAACAGGAGGCCTCACAAGCTTGACAATGGTCTGACCACAGATGTACTGAAGCATCACACCTGCCAGGAGAGCCCAGACACTGCTGGGGGGTGGCCATCACCTCCCGGGCACCTTTTTACTATTTTTTAATTATAGAAGTAATACATAGGCCAGGTGTGGTAGCTCATGCTTGTAATCCCAGCACTTTGGGTGGCAGAGGTGGGAGGATTGCTTGAGCCCAGGGGTTCGAGACCAGCCTGGGCACCATAGCAAGATGCTGTCTCTATAAAAAATACAAAAATTAAGGCCAGGTGTGGTGGCTCACGCCTGTAATCCCAGCACTTTGGGAGGCGGAGGTGGGTGGATCACTTGAGGTCAGGAGTTCAAGACCAGCTTGACCAACATGGTGAAACCCGATTTCTACTAAAAATACAAAAATTAGCCAGGAGTGGTGGCATGCGCCTGTAGTCCCAGCTACTCGGGAGGCTGAGACAGGAGAGTTGCTTGAACCTGGGAGGCAGAGGTTGCAGTGAGCCAAGATCATGCCACTGCACTCCAGCCTGGGCAACAGAGTGAAACTCCATCTCAAACAAAAACAAACAAACAAACAAACAAACAAACAAACAAAATATGAAAATTAGCCAGGCACGGTGGTGCACGTCTGTAGTCCCAACTACTCGGGAGGTTGAGGTAGAAGGATTGCTTGAGCCCAGGAGGTCAACGCTGCAGTGAGCTGTGATCGTGCCATTGCACTCCAGCCTGGGTGACAGAATGAGACCCTGTCTCAAAACAAAAACAACAATAACAAACAAAACAAAAAAGTAATACATGAATATATTCTCTTTGTAGAAGACAAGAACAGAACAAATCTGTAGAGTAAAAAGTAAACATCCCGACCCACTTAGTTCCCACATCGCTTCCTAGTGGGAGTCACTGACAGCAGTTTACTGGCTATTGATTCAATCTTTTGTCTGTGCCTGTATATGTACATAGAGGTACATACACATATCTAAGAATTTTTAAAAACATAAATATGCTAATACTAGTCCATAACTTTGCTTAGAAATCTTTCCATGTCTGGTCATAAAGATCTAACAGGGGTCGGGAAACTTTCTGCAAAGGGCCAGATAGTAAAGATTTTAGGCTTCGTGGACCACATATAGCAGTGGTCCCCAACCTTTTTGGCACCAGGGACTGGTTTTGTGAAAGACAATTTTTCCATGGATGAGGGTATGGGGCAGAAGGTTTCAGGGTGAAACGGTTCCACCTCAGATCATCAGGCATTAGATTCTCATAAGAAGTGCACAACCTAGATCCCTTGTATGTGCAGTTCACAACAGAGTTTGTACTCCTATGAGAATCTAATAGATCTGGCAGGAGACGGAGCTCAGGCGGTAATGCTCTCTCGCCTGCCACTTGCCTCCTGCCGTGCAGCCTGGTTCCTAACAGGCCACTGATCTGATATACAGTCTCTGTGACATAGTCTTCTGTTTTTTGTTGCTATTTGTTTTTGTTTTTTTTTAAACAACCATTTAAACATGTCAAAAACATTTTTTTTTTTTTGAGATGGAGTCTCGCTCTGTCACCCAGGCTGGAGTGCAGTAGCACGACCTCGGCTCACTGCAACCTCTGCCTCCCAGGTTCCAGTGATTCTCCTGCCTCAGCCTCCCTAGTAGCTGGGACTCCAGTTGCATGCCACCACGCCTGGCTAATTTTTGTATTTTTAGTAGAGACAGGGTTTCACCATGTTGGCCAGGCTGGCCTCGAACTCCTGTCCTCAGGTGATCCACCCACCCCAGCCTCCCAAAGTGCTGGGATTACAGGCGTGAACCACCGCACCTGGCCCCACATTTTTTTTATTCACTCATCCTTCAATGGATATTTAGTTTGTTTCCATAGTCATCTTGGCTATTGTGAATAATGGTGCAATGAACACAGGGGTACAGATATCTCTTTGGGATCCTGATTTCAATTCTTTTGGATATGTACCCACAAGTGGGATTGCTAGATCACATGGTAGTTCTATTTTTAATTTTTTGAGGAAACTCCAAACTGTTTTCTATAGTGGCTGCATCATTTTGCATTCCTACCAACAGTGTACAGGAGTTCCACATCCTTGTCAACACTTTTTATCTTTTTCTTTTTGATAAGCGGGGCTGCTGGGCCAACTCTCTCTTCCCTGGGAGCTGAGAACTGGACGTTTTTTTAATCCACAAGCTCTGTGCTGTGCAAGGGGAAGGGCCAATGGCACCTATCAGCCAGAGACTCCACCTCCATTCTCCCCTCGGTATCCAAACTGTAACTGATCATGAGACTTCCAGGACTGGCAAAATAAAAGCTAGTGTTTGGGGAAGTCCTCTCACAAGAGTTGGGGTGCTGGACACAAAGACCAACCTCTCCCCTCCTCTGGTGGAAGCTTGGGAGTGAGGGGATCTTCTCATGGTCATACAGCACGGGGTTAGGGGCAGGGTCTCCAGTGAGAGAGTGTCCCTAGTCTCCTTACTGGCTTTAGTGAGTCTGATGTAGCATTTTCTGGGGGTGCAGGAGCCTTTCAGGTAGTTTCTGATCTTTTGCAAAGGGATTTTGTCAATGAATTTTTGCTGAATCAGTATGTGGAGGGGAGGGGGGAAGGATAATTCAGGGTTTTTTATACTGCCAAGTTGCTGACATAACCTCTTATTAACACAACTACTTATTTTTGTGAGTCTAGAAAGTTGTTAATCCTTTTTGAACCTCATTTCTTTTAAAAATAACTATAAATTGGAGGTAGCAACACTGAGACTTTATTAGGTTGCAGTAAGCATTAAATGAGATAATGTATGCATTTTGTGTGGATGTTACTGGCCCCTACTCCCAGTGGAGCAGAAGACTGGATCCATTTCATGGACTCACTAGGGGTGGCTTACATTTCCTTAACACCAAACTGGCTAATTAAAAGATGGCTTTAGCCATTTGCTCCCTTTCCTACTCTGGGCTATATTCTCTGAGAGCCACCATTTCTGCCCAGCACTTTTTTTTTTTTTTTTTTTTGAGACAGGGTCTCACTCTGTCACCCAGGCTGGAGTGCAGTGGTGCCATCTCAGCTTACTGTAACCTCCACCTCCCGGGTTCAAGCAATTCTCCTGCCTCAGCCTCCCGAGTAGCTGGGATTACAGGCCCCCACCACCATGCCCGGCTAATTTTTGTATTTTTAGTAGAGACGGGGTTTCACCATGTTGGCCAGGCTGGTCTCGAACTCCTGGCCTCAAGTGATCCACCTGCCCCAGCCTCTCAAAGTGCTGGGATTACAGGTGTGAGCCACTGTGTCCGGCCTCTGTCCAGCACTTCTAACCCTCCTCCAGCAACTACTTCCTCTTGTTCCTCCATGCCTGGGATATGGGCTCTATTCCAGGCACTACTGCTGGTTCCTCCACTAGGATCTGAACCTTCCTGTCACCCATAAACAGGCCCTTTCCTAGGGTCAGAGCAATGCTTTGGTCTGTGGTCCGTCTTGGGGATTGGGGGACTGCTGCCCTCCCACATCCCTGTTAGAGAGACGATAGGAAAGCTGGGCTGCATGTGTACCAGCATCTTCCAGCATTGATATGTAGCCTTGCCCCTTACTGTTTAAAACCAGTTTCCTCTGCTCCTTCCTTCACTCTGAGGACTTTGTAATTGGACAAATGTCAACGTCCCTACTGTTTTCTCCCTTAGGATCAATTTTCTCTCAGGAGGCTCTTCATTGACTCATGCAAACAGATTTCTGGCGGGAACTGCTCCAAGGCCTTCCAGATGTGCACAGGCATGGATGAATCAGAGCAGAAGTGGACAGATGTAGCTCAAATGGAGGGTTCTGCTATGTAAGTAAAGCATCCAGCCTTCCACGTTGGGAGTCACCACTAGTCCCAAGCTTGAGTTGAGTCATCTTTAATTGAGGTACACAGAGTAGGGCAGCTTTGAAGTCATTTACACCTGAAGCTGGACTCCTACCCAGTGTCTTTCTCTCTTTGTGACCTGGAGTTGGCTACTTAACTTTCTGAGTTTCAATTTACTCACAGTTAAAATAGTAATAATAATTTTCATTTTATGGTTTGTTGTATGCATTACTAAATAATATTTAGAAAATATCTGGCAAGTACTAGGTTTGCTTTTTATTTTTTTTCCATTAAGCATCTCTTTTGTGACTTACTAAGGCTGAGTTTTATTTTATTATATTTCTATCATTCTTCTTTTCATGTAGTCTTTTTCTTTCTCTTTTTTCTTCTCTTTTTCTCTTTCTCCCTGCCTGCCTGCCTGCCTACCTTCCTTCTTTTTTTCTTTGCTGTGTTTTTAAAACAGTAGACAAATATTGGAGAACAGGACCCCATCATTAGAACATTGACAAGTTTTTCTAGCAGAAACAGTATTTTGTTCCAACAGTTGTGTAGGCTTAATATATAAGTAACTTCACAATATCCTTAAGAAATTAAACACAGATCGGAGAGTTCTAAAATTATTTAAAAATTTAAAAATGTTAAAAATCAGCTGGGCGCGGTGGCTCACACCTGTAATCCCAGCACTTTGGGAGGCTGAGGTGGGTGGATCACCTGAGGTCGGGAGTTCGAGACCAGCCTGACCAACATGGAGAAACCCTGTCTCTACTGAAAATACAAAATTAGCCAGATGTGGTGGCACATGCCTGTAATCCCAGCTACTTGGGAGGCTGAGGCAGGAGAATCGCTTGAACCCAGGAGGCAGAGGTTGTGGTGAGCCAAGATCGCGCTATTGCACTCCAGTCTCCAGTTTCACAAGAGTGAAACTGCATCTCAAAAAAAAAAGTTAAAAATCACACATAAGCTCACAACTTACATGAACAAAAGAACTTTTATATTTTATATTACTTACCATAAACCAATAGCAAATATCTATTTCTCAAAGGCACAAATTCTGCATAAAATTTAGCAATGCCTTCCCATACCTGTTACCCAAATACAATTCAACAAAATCAGTGACACCAGGGTATTGTGAAGCTTAAACTACAACTGGATGTAAAGTGAGCTTATCTAAGCTGTTGTTATGGTGTTAACTTTATAAAAAATGGATCTGAGAATGGACTTTCTCTTTCTACCTAATCTAAAAGGTAGGACGCTGGAGATAGTAAATTACCCCAAACCACAAATGGGAAACAGATGGCTTTTCAGCCAGGGACAGAACCAATTATTTATAACCTTCTCCTCGTCATCCTTCTTACAAACTAAACCTGGCAAATGGTTGGGAACATGAGCTCACAAGTCAGTAGGACCACAAAATATGCTGACTATACTGTAGGCTAGTTTCTTCCTGAAAGAAGGCACAGTAATGCAGGACGAAAATAGGGGTGATGAAAACAACTTAAGGTTACTTTTGATTTTTAAAAGTAGTAATTCCGGGCTGGGCGCTGTGGCTCATGCCTGTAATCCCAGCACTTTGGGAGGCCAAGGTGGGTGGATCACCTGAGGTTAGGAGTTTGAGACCAGCCTGGCTAACGTGGTGAAAACCCGTTTCTACTAAAAATACAAAAAAATTAGCCAGATGTGGTGGTGCGTGCCTGTAATCCCAGCTACTTGGGAGGCTGAGGCAGGAGAATCGCTTGAACCCGGGAGGCGGAGGTTGCAGTGAGCTGAGATCGCACCATTGTACTCTGGCTTGGGCAATAAGGGTAAAACTCCGTCTCAAAAAAAAAAAAGTAATTCTGGCTGGGTACAGTGGCTCATGCCTGTAATCCCAGCACTTTGGGAGGCTGAGGTGGGTAGATCACCTGAGGTTAGGTGTTTGAGACCAGCCTGACCAACATAGTGAAACCCCCTCTCTAATAAAAATACAAAAATTAGCTCGGCGTGGTGGCAGGTGCCTGTAATCCCAGCTACTCAGGAGGCTGAGGCAGGAGAATTGCTTGAACCCGGGAGGTGGAGGTTGCAGTGAGCCGAGCCATTGCACTCCAGCCTGGGTGACAGAGCGAGACTCCGCCTCCAGAAAAAAAAAGTAATACCATCACAGCTATTGAATGAAATGTTTCCAAGTGTTCTAATATTAATTCTGAAGTAGTCAACATCATGTTTTTAGAAGGATGTTATTGAATCACAACATATTGTCACTTGAAGTCACCTCTAATCTCAGTTCACAAATAAGAAAGTGTGATATACTTATTGGGCAAACACAGTGGGCAATGGACCAGCCAATGAGGACACCCCAATCCTGAGTTACAATTCTAAATGCTACCTCATTTGTACACACTGGGAACAGGGAAAATGTCAGGTTACAAGCAAAATATATTTGCGTAGACCTTTACATTTTTCACTGTGCTATTCTCAACAACACTGTCGATTACTATCCTCTTTGAAATCCACATCTAACTCAGATCAGCAATGAAGGCTCTTGCTTTAATTCTTAAAACCAGTAATGCCAGCGTTGCTGATCTACGTGTAGGATTTCAGAATTTAACCAGGCCAGATAAATACAACTGTGTTCAACTCAACTAGGACCAGGAAGTTCCCAAGTGGACTTTGCATTGAGTGGAGTTTTAAAATTCCACAGAGGCCCACCAGTGGATTAAGTATGTATTCTTGGAACACCAAAAAACAGGAGGCCTTGTTGGTATCACTGGCAATCCCTAGATGACAAAGTTTCGAGTAAGGTGAAATGAAGACAGGGTCTTGCTCTGCCACCCAGGCTGGAGTGCAGTAGTGTGACCTTGGCTCACTGCAGCTTGAATTCTTGGGCTCAAGCAATCCCCTAGCCTCAGCCTACTGAGTAGCTTGGACTACAGGCACATGCCGCCATGCCCAGCTATGTTTCTATAGAGACAGGGTTTCACTATGTTGCCCAGGCTGGTCTTAAGCTCCTGGCCCAAAGCCATCATCCTGCTTTGGCCTCCCAAAGCACTGGGATTACAGGTATGAGCCACTGTGCCTGGCCCAAGAAAGTAATCTGTTTAAAGTTTAGCGCATAAGGAATTCAATAAGGAGAGGTCATAGTGCTCCCTCAGGTATCGTGTAGAAGCAAAGCAGAGCTCACATGTGTTTAAAATGTCATCCAGGGTCACTCTCTGAAGTGCTAATTTTATGTTTGTTTTTACACAAAAAAAGAAAAACAATTAATCTTCCAACTCAACCAGTCAGTCACCTAGTATAATAACTTAATTAGTTGGGTATAGTTCCTCCATTTCAAATGGTTTACATAATTGGATATAATAGAGAGCAGTATTCAACAAAAGGTGATCACTATAAACATGTGAACTATCATCATTATGAAAAGTGCTTGAGGAACACTGCGGGTGGGTTAGGGCATGGGATAAAAGGTGGAGTTAATCTAAAAAAGAAAAGACTTCATTGAGAAGGAGTTTGAAAGGAGATAGGCAATCTGGCAGCGAAAAAGATGGAGAATCCAAGCCATGTGTAATATATATGTGCCTGCTTGAATTTTCGTTAGTACCAAATTGTCCCTAATGGCATGAAAAATAATAAAACACAAAGTTGGATGAAAGTTAGATTATTCAACCTGGAAGAACGTGTTTATAGATATGATATCCTTAATTTTTTATGAAACTTTCTCTTTAACAGTTTATAATGACAAACCTCTAGTTGAGTGGAAAAATCTGGCACTGGAGAATTTTACTTAATTATATAACTGAGAGTTGACAGAGCTTTTAAAAAAAATTAGCTTGTGCCATGTAAAAGTGCTGGTATTTGATCTTGACCATTTTTGACCTAACAAACTGGCAGTGTTTTATGCTTTGACATAAAACATGGATTAATTTAATAAAAATAGTTATATATACCAGGTGCGATGGCATGCCTGTAAGCCCAGCACTTTGTGAGGCCAAGGCAGGAGGATTGCTCACATCCAGAAGTTCAAGACTAGCCTTGACAATATAGCGAGACCTCGTCTCTCCAAAAAATCAGAACCTATCCAGGTATGGTGGTGTGTGCCTGTAGTCCTAGCTACTTGGGAGGCTAAAGTGGGAGGATCACTTGAGCCCAGGAGGTTGAGGCTACAGTGAGCTGTGATCGTGCCACTACACTCAGCCTGGACGACAGAGTGAGACCCTGTCTCAAAAAAATAAAAAAATAACTCAAGAAGAGCTATATATATTTATATATGTAATATTTGACTTATTACATACAATTTGTCTTATTTCATATTTTATTTCTATACATAGTATAGTTCAGTATATTTAACATTAAAACCCTACTAAACATAGCATCATTTTGATGATTGAGAAAGCACTTCCTTCCTCATTCACTAGACATTCACTGAGCACCTATTATGTTTCCAGCACTCTGCTCCTAGCTGAGATACAAGGATGAGTAAAATATATGTCTTGCCCTTGACTTTCTCAGTTTAGTAAGGGAGATGAACACCTTAAAAGATGATTACGCAGAGAGACTGTGTGTACAGGGGTTAAGAAGGAAGGCCCTGAGGTCAGACAAACCCAGATGTTTAGTCTGGTCTTCACCACTTTTGCTAAGGGCCAAAGCTCTTTTAGCCTTGTGGAAATAATAACAGTACCTCCCAGGATTCTTGTGAGAGTTAAATGTGACAATGCACATGAAGTTGCTTAGCATTGTACTGTACTTAACAAGTACTCAGGAAATGCTGAGTATTACTGTATGTGTTAAGTGCTATTTACATAATTAGATGTGGTTGGTACTTGCTTCCTTTGAGTGGAGTTAGGTCAACTGGTTTTAATGATAAGCAACACATGACAGTGACAATGGTTTCTAGTGAACTATAGTGAACTCCTCGTAGTAGTTTAGAGAAAAATCTCATCATCTTTCCCTGGAAATGAGACCTGTTATCAATCAAAAGTGCTGGTCTAAGGAAGTGACTGAACAGATTGAACATACCTCTCAGGAGTGGGGCTGGCTTTTCTAGGTACTCAACATTCTTTTAACGCTTTTGATTAAAAAAAAAAAAAAAAAAAAAGGGCTGGGCGCTGTGGCTCAGGCCTGTAATCCGGCTCAGGCCTGTAATCCCAGCATTTTGGGAGGCCGAGGCAGGTGAATCATGAGATCAGGGGATCGAGACCATCCTGGCTAACACAGTGAAACCCCGTCTCTACTAAAAATACAAAAAAATTAGCCAGGCGTGGTGGCGGGCAGTTGGCAGGTGCCTGTACTCCCAGCTACTCGGGAGGCTGAGACAGGAGAATGGCATGAACCCAGGAGGCAGAGCTTGCAGTGAGCCGAGATCGCGCCACTGCACTCCAGCCCGGGTGACAGAGTGAGACTCCATCTCAAAAAAAAAAAAAAAAAAAAGAAAAGAGGAACTGAAACAGGAACTAATAGATTTAACAGATTTGATGATAATTAAGACTTAAATTCTTTTCTCCAGTTCACGTTTGTGTTCTCACACAAAGTAGTTATTGCCAAGATGCCCAGGCACATGAATGCCTTTATCCAAACTTACTGAATAGTCTTTCCTTCAATAAATACTATTGAGCCTTACTGTTTGCCAGGCACTGTGCTAGGCTCTGGGAGTATGAAGGTAAGCAAAACCACAGGCTGGTGGCGGAGACAGACATTCATGAAATAAGCCTCCCCATACATAATAATAGTTGCTCTAAGTGAGAAGTTTAGAGCAGGGGCCCTGATTTAGGCTGGGGCATAGGTTTGTAGAGGCAGGGAAGAGTTCATTTAGGGAAGTAACATCTAAAAATACCACTTACCCTTTAGAAGAGCTGGCGATTTTCTCTCTCTTTTTTTTTTTTTTTTTTTTTTGAGACAGAGTCTTGCTCTGTTGCCCAGGCTAAAGCTCAATGGTGCAATCTCGGCTCAGTACAACCTCCGCCTCCCGGGTTCAAGCCATTCTCCTGCCTCAGCCTCCCAAGTAGCTGGGATTACAGGCGCCCACCACCACGCCCAGCTAATTTTTGTATTTTTTAGTAGAGACAGGGTTTCACCATCTTGGCCAGGCTGGTCTTGAACTCCTGACCTTGTGATCCACACCCCCACCCTTGGCCTCCCAAAGTGCTGGGATTACAGGAGTGAGCCACCGTGCCCGGCTGATTTTCTCTTTAATTCCAAAGCCGCCAGCAAGTTCAGGAGATAAAAGCTTAGTCAAATAAATTTTTGGTTACCATATGGAAAATGTCATGTTGATATAAATTATTTATTCTATCACCCAACTATATTGATAACATTAAACATGGCCTTTCTATCTGTCATTCTGCCCCAATGAGACTTTCATTTCTTTAACATTATACAAAGTAAAATCATCTACCTCTGGAATGATTTTATCATTATTAACACACATATACATGCATACTTATTTATGGTTCTTTATATGCACTAAAGAAGCTGGGAAAATTTTAGAAGATAGTAAAATGAAATGGTTCTTCCTTTCTTGTCTGGGAGGGGCTCCTTGCTCTGGAATGATACTTCATATATAAATACAGTGTTTCTCCGTGGTCTTCCTTTTGGATTTTTGGAGGTTGGATGGGAAGGGCTGAATTTCGGCACACACTGAAAACAGCTTATCTTGTAGGAGGGATTATAATATCCCAAACATTGTATATAAGTGGCATTTTGAGATTTCCTCAGAAATGTATTAAAAACAGAGAGAAAAAAATGATTGTAGCAAGTATTCAGCCATTTTACCTTTTTATTCAAATATTTAGCAATTTCTTGGGCTTCTAGTAATTTAGTGATCAATGGCTCCAATCAGAGAGTTCATTCACAGGAATATTCACACTCATTTGTTTCAGCCTTAAATAAATAAAGGTTGATTTTTTAAAAGAGGCTGTCTTCTAGGTATTGCAAGTGGAATCTGCTCATATTGATTGGGTTGCTCTTCAGTAATTTCCTACAGCATGCACATCTCTTCCTTTTTATGTTTTTCTCAAGCAATCAGTAAATAACGTATTCATCAAACTTAAGAGAGTGTCCCAACAGAATTTCGTTGGAAAAGCTGGGTTTCTTTCTTGCTGAGGTATACAGTTGATGAGTTCTTTAGCCAGTTGGATTATAGCAGCTCAGTGAGATCATAGAAAGTAACCTGGTTATGTTGTACTGATATTCATCACAGGAAATGAACTCATCTCCACAAATTATTTGCTGCAAAATAAATTAACTCCTTTAATAGAAAATTATCACAGGATCAGCACGTCCCACTTGTCAAGGAAGGAATATGAGCACAGTGTAGCTTTACTGTTACAGCAAGAAACCATTATTTTGTTGCTCACGGTACTCTCAACATAAATCTAAAATAATATCATCAAATGAACTCTCTGATTGGAGCCATTGATCACTAAATTACTAGAAGCCCAAGAAATTGCTAAGTTTCGCCGGGCACGGTGGCTCACGCCTGTAATCGCAGCACTTTGGGAGGGCGAGGCGGGCGGATCACCTGAGGTTGGGAGTTTGAGACCAGCCTGACCAACATGGAGAAACCCCGTCTCTACTAAAAATACAAAATTAGCTGGGAGTGGTGGCGCATGTCTGTAACCCCAGCTACTCAGGAGGCTGAGGCAGGAGAATTGCTTGAACCTGGGAGGTGGAAGTTGCGGTGAGCCGAGATGGTGCCATTGCACTCCGGCCTGGGCAACAAGAGCGAAACTCTGTCTCAAAAAAAAAAAAAAAAAAAAGAGAAAAAAAAAAGAAAGAAAGAAAAAGAAAAAGAAATTGCTAAGTTTCAACAAAGTCATGTTAGTTGTTTGAAATATTTCATAATACATTCTAATAAAAGGATTAATCATGTAAGGTTATTACAATGATATTGTGCACTTTTACTATTGCATAGCTTTTCCTATGAGCCCGACACTATGCTAGGCACTTACATGCATTATCTTGTGTCCTTTGTACAGCAAACCTAGAATGATTTACTCATGGGTTTCTTCCCCAGATCACAGATAAAGAAATGAGAACTGATTGTGCTAAAAAATTTTTCTCGTGCCTGTGATCAGTGTATTATATTTGGAGTATCTATGTTGGGCTGAGAATAAGAAAATAGAAACTAGAAGGACACTAGAAATAGAGGGAAGATAGGGAATTGGAGGGGACTGGAGCTAGAAAAGGAAATTATAGTAATAGATTACTATATGCCAGAGACTGTGTATATGATGGCACAAACAAACTTTTTTTTTTTTTTTTTTTTTTTTTTGAGACAGAGCCTTGCTCTGTGGCTCAGGTTGGAGTGCAGTGGTACAATCCGGGCTCCCTGCAAACTCTGCCTCCCTGGTTCAAGCAGTTATTGTGCATCAACCTCCCAAGTAGCTGGGATTATAGATGTGTGCCATCATGCCTGGCTAATGTTTGTATTTGTAGTAGAGACGGGGTTTTGCCATGTTGGCCAGGCTGGTCTCGAACACCTGACCTCAAGTAATCTGCCTGCCTCAGCCTCGAAACGTGTTGGGATTACAGGTGTGAGCCATCGTGCCCGGCCACAAACTTTTTTTCTATACTTTCACGGTATTCTTAATATTTCTGCCACAAGATTCAGTTTTTCCTACAGCAAACAATTTTCCAGGTCTCTATGGACATCAAGTAGTGTCCTACGAATCAACTTAATTCTGACTCTATCTCTATCTGGTGATAGTACAGAAACCACAGGTCAAGGGCTCAGTCAAGACTGCCCCCATTTCAGATGCTGGGTTGTAACCTGTTCTTATAGCCAACAGGAATCCAGGGTTCCTATGACTGCTTCTCACATTCGTTCATTTACTAGGTCAGCTTGGAGAACTCAGGAAAATAGTTAACTCCCTATATTTGCAGTTTATTACAAAGGCTAGAACTCAGAGGCAGCCAGATGGGAGTGATGCATAGGACAAGCCACATAGGAAAGTGCACAGAGGTTCTATGCTGTCTCTAGGTGGGATTTTTTTTTTTTTTTTTTTGAGATAGGGTCTCGCTCTGTCACCCAGGCTGCAGTGCAGTGGTGCAATCACTGCTCACTGAAGCCTCGACCTCCCTGGCTCAAGCAATCCCCTCACCTTAGCCTTCTAAGTAGCTGGGACTACAGGCGCACACTACCATGCCCAGTTAATTTTGGACTTTTTGTAGAGATGAAGTCTTGCCATGTTGCCCAGGTGAGTCTCAAACGCTTGGGTTCAAGTGATCTTCCTGCCTCAGCCTCCCAAATGCTGGGATTACAGGCATGGGCCACCCTGCCCCGCGGGCTTTTCTTTTCTTTTCTTTTCTTTTCTTTTGAGACAGGGTCACCCAGGCTGGAGTGCAGTGGTGCAATCATAGCTCGCTGTAACCTTGAGCTCTTGGGCTCGAGTGATCGTCCTGCCTCATCCTCGAGTTGCTAGGATTAAAGGCACGCACCACCATGCCTAGCTAATTTCCTTTTTTTTTTTTTTTTTTTTGTAGAGACGGGGTCTCGATTTGTTGCCCATGCTGGTCTCAAACACCTGGACTTTAGCGATCCTCCCACTCGGCCTCTTGGAAGTGCTGGGATTCCAGGCGGGAGCCGCCGAGCACAGCCTGGGGCCTGGATGTTTATGTGAGACAGTAGGCGGCACTCTAAGCATCTCGGAACTGTTGGTGTTCGCTTTTCGGCACTCTATTGTATGTCATACCTTGTGCTGCACTCTACTCACGTTTGACTCTTTGTAGTACACTATGCCTCACTCCTCATCTTGGAATCATTTGCTATACCATACGCCTCAGTCTTTTCGTCTTGGATCTTTTTTTTTTTTTTTGAGACGGAGTTTCGTTCTTGTTGCCCGGGTTGGAGTGCAATGGCGCGATCTCGGCTCACTGCAACTTCCGCCTCCTGGGATCAAGCGACTCTTCAGCCTCAGCCTTCCGCGTAGCTGGGATTACAGGCGCATGCCACCATGCCCGGCTAATTTTTGCATTTTTAGTAGAGACAGGGTTTCATCATATTGGTCAGGCTGGTCTCAAATTCCTGACTTCAGGTGATCCGCCCGCCTCGGCCTCCCAAAGTGCTGGAATTACAGGCGTGAGCCACCGCGCCCGGCCTGTCTTGGGATCTTTAGTGGTGCCGGATGCCCTAGGTTTTCATCTTGGGATTCTTTGGAGGCCATACGCCCGAGTTATTTTGTTTTGGAATCATTTGGGAGACCGTATGCTCCGGGTTTTTTTTGTTTTGTTTTTTTGTTTTTGTTTTTGTTTTTTTTTTTTTTTGAGACGGGGTTTCGCTCTCGCCAGGCTGGAGTGCAGTGGCGCGATCTCGGTTCACCGCAACCTCCGCCTCCCGGGTTCAAGCGATTCTCCTGCCTCAGCTTCCCGAGTAGCTGGGATTACAGGCACGCGCCACTATGCCCGGCTGATTTTTGTATTTTTAGTAGAGATGGGGTTTCACCATGTTGGCCAGGATGGTTTCCATCTCCTGACCTCATGATCCGCCCGCCTCGGCCTCCCAAAGTGCTGGGATTACAGGCGTGAGCCACGGCGCTCGACTGTCCCGGTCTGTTTGTCTTGCAATTGTTTGCAGTAGCGTACTCCCTGATTTTTCGTCTTGAAATTCTCTGGGGAACTGCACTCCCAATCTTTTCATCTTGGAATCCTTTAGCGGACCGTATTGCCCTAGTGCTTTTGTCTTGGCACTGTTTGCAGTGCTGTACACCCCAATCTTTTCGTCTTGAAAACCTTTGGGATACTGTACCCTTGGTCTTTTAGTCCTGGAATTCTTTGCGGGATCGTATGCACCCGTTTTTCATCTTGGAATCTTTTGGGAGACCGTATGCCCCAGTCTTTTTGTTGTGGGATTATTTGGGATACTGTATTCACCAGTCTTTCCATCTTGGAATGTTTTGGGAGATTGTATGCTCCAGTTTTTATGGCTTGGAATCGCTTGCAATGCCCTATGCCCTAGTTATTTCACCTTGGAATATTTTGGGATATCAAATGCCCCAGTCTTTTGTCTTGGAGTCATTTGCAGTGTTGTATGCGCTAGTCTTTTTATCTTGGAATTATTTGGTGGACTGTACACCCCAATGTTTTCATCATGAAATCTTTTGGGAAACGCTATGTTCCAGTCTTTTCATCTTGGAATCTTTTGTAGTGCCATACGACCCAGACTTTTTGTCTTGGAATCTTTAGGGGCAGCTTATGCCCCAGTCTTTTCATTTTGGAATTCTTTGGCGACTGTATTCACCAGTTTTTTCATCTCGGAATCTTTTGTGAGATTGTATATCCCAATCTTTTTGTCTTGGAATCGTTTGCAGTGCCATCTGGCCCAATCTTTTCATTTTGGAACTCTTTGGGGGGACTATACACCCCAGTCTTTTAATCTACGAATCTTTTGGGAGTCCGTATGCCCCAATCTTTTTGTCTTACAATTCTTTGTGACATTGTACACCCCAGTCTTTTCATCTTGGAATCTTTTGGGAGACAGTATGCCCCAGTCTTTCTGTCTTAGAATCATTTGCAGTGTCATACACCCCAGTCTTTTAATTTTGGAATCGTTTGCAGTGCGGTATTTCCTAGTTTTTTTTCTCTTGGAATTATTTGGGGGACTATATACCACAGTCTTTTCATCTTGGAATTTTTCAGGGAACCGTATACTCCAGTCTTTTTATCTTGGAATCATTTGCAGTGTTTTACTCCCTAGTCTTTTTTTTTTTTTTTTTTTTTTTAATGGAGTCTGGCTCTGTCGCCCAGGCTGGAGTGCAGTGGCGTGATCTCGGCTCACTGCAACCTCCGCCTCCCGGGTTCAAGCGATTCTTCTGCCTCAGCCTCCTGAGTAGCTAGAACTACAGGCAACTGCTACCATGCCCGGCTAATTTTGTGTATTTTTAGTAGAGATGGGGTTTCATCGTGTTAGCCAGGATGGTCTCCATCTCCTGACCTCGTGTTCCGCCCGCCTAGGCCTCCCAAAGTCCTGGGATTACAGGCGTGAGCCACTGTGCCTAGCCATTCCCTAGCCTTTTCGTCTTGGAATCATTTGTAGTGTCATACGCCCCAGTTCTTTCATCTTGGAATTCTTTAGGGGACCGTGTGCCCCAGTGTTTCCATCTTGGGATCACTTGCAGGGCTGTACTCTTCAAATCTTTGGGGACACTGTATTATGCCCCAGTCTTTCCCATCTTGGAATCTTTCCAGAGACCCTATGCCCAGTCTTTTTGTCTTGGACTTATTTGCAGGGCTATATGCCCCAGGCTTTTCATCCTGGAATCTTTTGAGAGATCGCATGCCCCAGCCTTTCCATCCTGGGATCATTTGCAGTGCTGGACTCCCTAATCTTTTTGTGTCGTAATCGTTTGCGGTGTCATCTTGGAATTATCTTGTCATCTTGGAAGTGTCTTTTCATCTTGGAATTATTTCAGGGACTGTAAGTCCCAGTCATCTGTCTTGGAATTGTTTTCTGGGATGGATGCCCCAATCGTTTCGTTTTGGGGTCTTTGGGGAATCGTATGCCCCAGTGTTATTGTTTCAGGATTGTTTCAGGATTCTTTGCAGTACCGTGCACCGCAGTCTTTTCATCTTAGAATCCTTTGGGGTACTCCCGGTTCATCTTGGAATTATCTGGAAGACCGTATGCCCCTGTTTTTTTCAAAGTACCACAGTTTTAAACATTTATGTTCACCTCTTGAGAGACATCTTGGTTACTTCCAGTTGCCCCAGTTTTTTTGTCTTGGAATCTTTGGAGGTACTGTATTCTCCCTCTTTTTGTCTTGGAATCATTTGCGGTGCTGTACACCCCAGTCTTCTCGTCTTACAATTCTTTAGGGGTAAAATATGCTCCAGTCTTTTCATCTTGGGATTCTTTCAGTGAACGCAGGTCCCAGTTTTTTTGTCTTGGAATTCTTTATGGGACCACACACCCCGGTCTTCCTGTCTTGGAACCGTTCGCAGCACTCTATTGCATGTAATACCGCCGGCGGCACTCTACACGACTTGGAGCCGCCTGCGCTACCGTATGCAGCACTCTCCACGGTAGCTCCCTGGGGACTCAAACTTTTCCAGTTCCCCATCTTTAGGCTGCAACAGCATGGCAATGCCCAATAGAAAACAACGCAAGCAGTAGCCATCACGCTGCCAACACTGGCGGTGCCCTCTTGGGCAGTGGCCACTGTCTGCTGGGCGCATTACTAAGCCCAGAGCACTCTATGAACTCATCATCTCCATCTGGTGTCCCTGTCCTGCTTGCTGCTCTAGTTGCCCTAAAAATATGCCCCAGTCTTGTTTTGAGCAGGAATAATAAGATGCACAGACACGCAAATGATTGCCAACGAACAAGTCATATTTTATTATACTCACAGTCCCCAAGACACGGGAGGGGGGTCACTCCACACAGGGCCACACAGGGAAGTGACAAAGCAGAATGAGCAGGCGTAGAGAGAGGGAAAGCACTGGCAGACTCTTTATTGTGGATTTCTCAGGAAGGAATGGGCAAAGCAAGGTAAGCAAATGGCACAAATTTAGGATTGGATAGTTTGCATTGTTTCAGCAGATTCTGCGCTATAGGGTGCATCCCCAATTGTATAAAGACTGGTTTTGGAGAGTCTGAGTCTTAGTAAATCATGATTTTTTTTTTTTTTTTTTTTTTTTTTTGAGACGGAGTCTCGCTCTGTCGCCCAGGCTGGAGTGCAGTGGCGGGATCTCGGCTCACTGCAAGCTCCGCCTCCTGGGTTCAGGCCATTCTCCTGCCTCAGCCTCCCGAGTAGCTGGGACTACAGGCACCTGCAACCACGCCCGGCTAATTTTTTGTATTTTTAGTAGAGATGGGGTTTCACAGTGTTAGCCAGGACGGTCTTGATCTCCTGACCTCGTGATCCACCCGCCTTGTCCTCCTAAAGTGCTGGGATTACAGGCGTGAGCCACCGCGCCCGGCTAGTAAATCATGAGTTTTAGGGCCTGATGCTCTCTAAGCAAATTGCTGCTTCTCCAAGATAATGAACTGTAGCTTGGAGCCCACAGAGAAGGCCCTAGAAACCAGTCTGTCCGTTGTTCTCCCTCCTCTTTTCAAGATTTTAAAACTTGTAGCAATAAACACATAACATTAAATTTACCATATTTACCATTTTAAGCGTACAGTAATGTAATGTTAAGTATATTCACATTATTATGCAACAAATCCCTGGAACTTTTTCTTCTTGCAAATCTAAAAGTCTGTAAACAGCAAACACTGATTCTCCTTCCCTCTTTCTGGCCTTTGGTAACCTCTTTCTACTGTTTCTGTGATTTTGACTACCTTATTTAGTCTTTCTTTTCTTTCTCTCTCTCTTTTTCTTTTTTTTTTTTTCAGACAGGGTCTCACTCTATTACCCAGGCTGGAGTGCACATGCAGTATTGTGATCATAGCTCACTGCAGCCTCGAACTCTTGGGCTCAAGTGATCCTCCTACATCAGCTTCCCAAGTAGCTGGGACTACAGGCACTCACCACCACATCCTGCTAATTTTTAAATCTTTTATAGAGACAGAGTTCCCCTATGTTGCCATAGCTGGTCTCAAACTCCTGGCCTCAAGGGATCGTCCCTCATGGCTGGGATTACTGGCATGAGCCACTGTGCCTGGCCGTTTTTGTTTTTGTTTGTTTTAGAGACTGGGTCTCACTCTGTCTCCCAGGTTGGAATGCAGTGGTGGGGGTGGGATCACAGCTCATTATAGGCTCCACCTCCTTGGGCTCAATCAATCCTACCATCTCAGCCTTTCAAATAGCTGGATTACAGGTGTGTGCCACAACACCTGGTGATTTGACTCCTTTAGATCCTCCATAGGAGTCCTCTTGTGACTGGCTCATTTTTTTTAAGGGCCCTACATATTGTTTTCCATAATGGCTGTATTATTTTACATTCCTACCAACAGTGCCCAAGGGTCCCAGCTTCTCCATTTTCTGGCCAACACTTGTTATTTTTGTTTCTTTTTTCTTTAGTAGTGGGCATGTTATGGGCTGTGTTGAGGATCAGTACACAAACATTTGTATTTGAATACAATTCTTAACATACTAGAATGAAAATCTCAAAAGCCATGTTGTTGTGGTCTTTTCTAAAACGATTCCAGTGACTTCCCAGCTTAAAAGCTTGGGGCAAATTTTCCTTAAGAGCTGTTAATTTACAATGTAATATCATATAAATTACCTGCCCAAATTTTCAATCTTCCGCGGCATATTAACAAAGTTATTAGGAAATAACTTTGGTTATGGACTACCATAACCAAAGATATTACAGAGTGCACATAATCCTTTTTTTTTTTTTTTTTTTTGAGACAGAATCTCAATAAGTATCCAGGCTGGAGTGCAGTGGCGCGATCTCGGCTCACTGAAACCTCTGCCTCCCAGGTTCAAGCGATTCTCCTGCCTCAGCCTCTCGAATAGCTGGGATTACAGGTGAGTGACACCATGCCTGGTTAGTTTTTGTATTTTCAGTACAGACGGGGTTTCACTATGTTGGCCAGGCTGGTCTTGAACTCCTGACCTCAAATGATCCTCCTGCCTCAGCCTCCCAAAGTGCTGGGATTACAAGCATGAGCTACCACACCCCGGCCGAGTGCATAGAATTCTGACAGGGAGAGTAAAGATTAAGGAGTGGTTTTCTTTTCTTTCTTTTTCTTTTTCTTTTTTTTAGAGACAGGGTCTTGCTTTGTCAGCCAGACTGGAAAACACTGGTGCAATCATAGCTCACTGCGGCTTTGAACTCCTGGGTTCAAGCGATCCTCCCGCCTCAGCCACCCGAGTAGCTGGGACTACAAGCATGAGCCATCACGCCCACCCGCCCCCCGCACCCCCCCAACCCCTTTTGAAAGTAAAATATTTAGAATGGCTTTTATTTCTAGGCAACTACCATTTTTCCCCCTCTGTCTTTTGATGTTCACCTGACAAGCTCCTGGTGGTAGCCGGTAGCTCTGACAGAGAGCAAAAGAAATAAGGTAAGGTCCCAACCTAGTGATCCCAGGTCTGGGCGGTATTTCACCTTTGGTGGTGCCATTGGTTTCCTGTTGTGAGATTATTCCTCCCACTGGGGTTAGGACACATAGGCCAGGGGTTGGGGGGTTGGGTGGGGGGTGCGGTGTAGTAGGAGGTCAGGGGTGGGAGGGGTGAGGGAAGACTCCCTCCTTTGCTATGGGTGTTACTTTCCTGGTTCACTTTAGCATTTAGCCCCACCTTGGGCGGAGATAGCAATCTTGCAATTGTTCCATGCCCTTCAGCTCTCCTTGGCTTGAGGCAGGGAGGACCTGGTCTTTAATCTGTCTTGTCTTTAACCTTAGTCAATCAGGAGCTGCTATGTGGTCTATTCTTGTTAGACCAGAGGCGCCTGGTCGCATGGCTCTTTTTGGGAGGACTTAGGTTGATAATGGCAACCTCATGCTTTAGGGCGGACACGGTGAACAACAGACAACAGAGGGCTTTATGCAGCCCGCATAGCAGCAGCACACCCCTCCAGCAAGCAGTTCTGCTTCCCCACATGGTGCTAGCCATGGGGGAAGAGCCACAGCAAGCCACACGCAGGTCAAAGGCATTTTGTTGTGCCCCTTGTGGTTGTGACCACACACCCTGCTTGCTGTGCCAGTTGTATTTTTCTCTAATTTGATCTTTCCTCTAATTTGCTCCTGAGACAGACAGTAGCTATGAAGTCTAGCCTGTCCTGAAGGGGCTGCCCTGAAGAGGATGCTTATATTGTGTTTTTCACAGAATACTTCTTTATCCTGACCTAATGCCTGATTGTCCAGCCTGTATCCAGGTGTCCCTCTCACAGGAAGCTTGTTTATATGGGCAGGTGCCCTTGTGGCTCTTGTCTGACCTATGTCCAGGTTATTCCGCTGAAGCCGGAATACTCCCTCTAAGAGCCCTGACCGGCAGGAGGGTTCGCTTCCAGTGTTTAGCTCAGGTGAGACACAGCAGAGGTAACACAACGAAACACGTGAAATAACAACAACAACAAAAGCAGTGTGTCACTGACAGATCCCAGAGAGAAGAGGACAGCACGTCTTGCAGGGCCAGCGAGAAGCGGGGAGCCATCTGGGACATGCACGCTTAGGCAGCGGGCGGGGAGCAAGCAAGAGTGTGCAGGGGAACTGTGGGCCAAGCCTTTAGAAGGGTCCAGGGCGTCACCCAAGCAGGCTTCCTGCGGGGAGTTTTTTTTTGTTTTGTTTTGTTTTAACGGGATTTGGCTTTTGTTGCCCAGGCTGGAGTGCAGGGGCATGATCTCGGCTTACTGCAACCTCTGCCTTCCCAGTTCAAGCGACTCTCCTGCCTCAGCCTCCCGAGTAGCTAAGATTACAGGTGGCCCACCACCACGCCTGGCTAATTTTTTGTATTTTTAGTAGAGGTGGGGTTTCACCATGTTGGCCAGGCTGGTCTCGAACACCTTGACCTCAGGTGATCCACCTACCTCGGTCTTTCAAAGTTCTGGGATTACAGGCGTGAGCCACTGCACCTGGTCCCCGTGGGGGGTTTAGAGCAAGCAGGCATGAGTTCCGTGGGGGCACGCATGCTGTGACTGGGAGGGGGGCACTGTGACATATCTGTGCAGTCTATGCAGGGTGTGGGAGCCAGTGGGTGAGTCTAGTAGGTTGTGCCTAGCTGTCCTCTAGGGAGGTGGTCACCAGGAGATGGTGTATGAAGTAGATTGCTGGATCATCTACCTTGAGAAACTGAGAGGAGGTGGAGAGTTGAGAACTGGAAACAGTGTCAAGGGTGACTAAGCCCTGCTTCTGGTATGAGAAAGTCCAATTTTATATTATATTCAATACGACAAAGTCCAACTTATATTCAAAGTGGATGCCAGGCAACATAAAATTGTAAGAATTCCCTACAGCTTTGTATTACAGGATATAAAACTACCCTCTCCACCTACGGTTTGTTAAGTTGACACCCACAACAGTAAAGTGCTCCCATAATTTATATCCCACTGTTTTCTGGTTGTATAAAAAATAAACAGCATATGATTTTGCCTCTTTTTTAAAAAAAGCACTTAGTTGGGAAGCTGAGGCGGGCAGATCACGAGGTCAGGCGATCAAGACCATCCTCACTAACACGGTGAAACCCCGTCTCTACTAAAAATAAAAAAATTAGCTGGGGAATGGTGGCACACGCCTGTAGTCCCAGAGGCAGGAGAATCACTTGAACCTGGGAGGTGGAGATTCCAGTGATTGTGCCACTGCACTCCAGCCTGGGCGACCGAGTGAGACTCTGTCTCAAAAATAAATAAATAAATAAATAAATAAATAAATAAATAAAGCACTTAGGCCAGGTGCAGTGACTCAAGCCTGTAATCCCAGCATTTTAGGAGGCTGAGGTGGGAGGATTGCTTGAGCCCAGGAGTTCAAGACCAGCCTGAGCAACATGGCAAAGCCTGAGCAAAATGGCAAAAAACCCGTTTCTACAAAAAATAAAAAAAATTAGCCGGGCACAGTGGCGCAGGCCTGTAGTCCCAGCTGTTCAGGACCCTGAGGCAGAAGGATTCCTTGATCCCAGGAGGTCAAGGCTGCAGTGAGCCCTGTTCTTGCCACTGCATTCTAGCCTGGGTGACAGAGCAAAAGCCTGTTTCAAAAACAAACAAAAAAAGCATTTACATTTTAAAAATCATAGTTCTTCCTTCTTAAAAATATTCATAGGCTGGATGCAGTGCCTCATGCCTTTAATCTCAGCACATTGGGAGGCCGAGATGGGGGGACTGCTTGAGGCCAGGAGTTCGAGACCAGCCCAGGCAATGTGTTGAGACCCCCATCTCTTTAAACATCAAAAATAAAAATAAATAAATAGCTGGGCATGGTGATTCGTGCCTGCACTCCCAGCTACTTGGGAGGCTGAGGTGGGAAGAGCGCTTGAGCCCAGGAATTAAGGCTGCAGTGAGCTATAATCATGCCATTGCACCCCAGTCTGGGTGACAGCAAAACCCTGTCTCAAAAAAAAAAAATTACAGAGCTACTTGTGCGTTTACAAAATATAGTATTTGATAAAAATATTTCTCAGAATTGCACAAGAAGGAAGACAGGGACCACTGATAAGACAAGGGTGTAGGATATTAACCAGACTTGGCTTCTTTCTCTCCTGCTTCAGCAGAGGCTGGACTCTCCTTATTTTCAGTTTCTCCATTTTCTGCAGGAAAATCTTTACTTTCTGGGGCAGCTACTTTGGCCTGTTTGTCTTATACTTTTCTTTGCATTTTTTCATTTGTTTGTGTGAAGATTTATCCTTTCCTGCTGCCTGTTTTGGATTTGTTTTCACTTTTGTAGGGGCGGTTTTAGCTGATAACCTCACCAGTCTTCACTTCGGCTCTTCCTTCGCTGCCCCTTCAGCTGCGGGGAACTTGCTCTAGGGCATCTTGGCAGGAGGGAGGGCGTCTGAGGGTACTGGTGCCTGCAGACTTCAAGCACGGAGAGACTTCTTGAAGCGGTGCTGCCTGGCCACTTGGAAAAAGGTAGGGAGAAATCCACATGGAAGAAAGTAGGGAGTAATCAGAAAGTCCAAGGTGGGATGTGAAATTACAGAGCCCTTGAGAGCCTGTTTGGAGGTTCTAACAGGGGAGTGCAGCTACTCATATACCCTCCATCGAAGAGTGATCCTCCTCTATCAGAGTAGGTTGTCCTTTTTGACGGAGCTCACAGCTTCAGGAGGAAGGGGACACCTGGCTAGTCAGACAGATCAAAAACAGAGCTCTTAAGGTTCTCAAAAGCATCTTTGGATAGGGGGTCCTGGGCGACCAGGTGGGCATATGGGGCAAGGCAGTTACAGAGAGATCGTGCAGTTTCTGACCCCAAAATCCTCTCTATTGTCTTTTTGTTTCTGGCAGAGTAAACTGTTGAATAGTAGAAGCCCAGTCTGTGGAGATAGTTTTTCCTGTGGCTGAGATATCATGACCCAGATATTGAATGCAGAACTTTGTCTTTAGCCACCTGGTGGCTCTTTATTGCTAATGCCTTAAGGGTTCAGAAGAGCACTGTCATAACGGGCAGGAGATAGAACATCATCCACATATTGAAATAAAGTGGAGTTTCCTGCATATTTTAAGTCCCTTAAATAGGACCCTCAGTAAATCCTTGGGGCATAACTGTCGAGATATATTGTTGTCCAGATATATTGTTGATTGTGAAGGAAAACAAATACTTGGAATCTTAATGAAAAAGGATGCTGAAAAAATCTGAACGCAAATTGATGACAGGTGAAATATTAGATTTTGGAAGGGATCACAGCCAGCATAGTATTAGGGTTGGGCATCAGGGGAAATCTGGGTTTGACAGTTTTATTGAAAGCTCTCAGATCTTGGACTGGCTGAAAATCCTCTTCCGTTTGGCTTTGTAGTGGCCATAATGGGAGTGTTGCCTAGGCTAGAAGTGGGGATTAGCCTTTTTTTGTCTAATAAATCTTGGGTTATTGGGTGGAGCCCTTCAAGTCCCCATGGTTTTAAATGATTTTGGGCAGTTTGGGGAGGAGCGTGGGAAGATCTGTTTCCACCTTAAGGAATTCTGCGGGCCGTGTACCAGTGGAGTTTGTTGCCCACAAAGGAAGGATTTTGTCTAACAGTCGATGTAAGTCCTTAGCAGAGCATTGCTAGGTTGAAGGGGGAAGAGGAACTCAGAGAAGTCAGACAAAGCCATTAGGGGACAGACATGGCGGGGGAGGGTGGAGTTTGAGAGGGGTCCCTTGTGGGCATAGTGAATTTTGATACTCCAATTCCTGAAAAGATCCCTTCTTAACAGATTTACGAGGGTGAGATAATTGAGAAAAAAGGTTGTACTGAGCTTTAAGAGGCCCCCCAAAACATTAAGAGGTTGAGAAAGGCAAATCGTGAGACACATGATCAAAACCTGCTACTGAAAAAGTCTGGTAATGCTGAGGAAGGAGCACAGGAACCGGGGTGGTGGGTGGTGTTAAGGGTAGATGATTGTGCAGTCCAGGTATTGGTATCAATAAGAAACGTGGACCAGGCGCGGTGGCTCACATCTGTAATCCCAGCACTTTGGGAGGCTGAGGCGGGCGGATCACAAGGTCAGGAGTTCGAGACTGGCCTGGCCAAAATGATGAAACCCCGTCTCTGCTAAAAATACAAAAATTAGCCGGCTGTGGTGGCGCGCAACTGTAGTGCCAGCTACTTGGGAGGCTGAGGCAGGAGAATTGCTTGAACCCAGGAGGTGGAGGTTGCAGTGAGCCGAGATCATGCCACTGCACTCCAGTCTGGGAGACAGAACGAGACTCTGTCTCATAAATAAATAAATAAATAAATAAAACATGGTGAAGTGCCTTTCAACTTTGAGTCTGGTGGCAGTTGAAAGTGCTGGACATTTACTTCCTCGGAGGGGAGTCAGTGATTTTCTAAGAGAAGGGCCCTGAAAGTTTTCCCTCCTCTTGAGAGCTGGGCAATTCTGGACCCAGTGTTCTTTTTCTTTACAGTATTGACAAGCTTCCAGATCACTGGGAACCCATGATTTTGGAGCTTGCCCCATGGGTTAAAATCTTAGGGTTTTTCTAATTGTTGTGATTACATTGATTGCATTGCCACAAACCTTTGTGTTTTCCGATTCTTTGGAAATGCTACCTTTATACTGTTGGACTAATGTCTGAAGCTCATACATGTCTGCATTTTTCTAGTTGATATTATTTTTTCTTTTCTTTTCTTTTCTTTTTTTTTTTTTTTTAAGACAGAGTCTCACTCTGTCACCCACGCTGGAGTGCAATGGCACGATGTTGGCTCACTGCAACCTCCCGCTCCTGGGTTCAAGTGATTCTCCTGCCTCAGCCGCCTGAGTAGCTGGGATTACAGGCGTGCACCACCACGCTCAGCTAATTTTTGTATTTTTAGTAGAGATGGGGTTTCACCATGTTGGTCAGGCTGGTCTTGATCTCCTGACCTCATGATCTGCCCACCTCAGCTTCCCAAAGTGCTGGGATTACAGGCTTGAGCCACCGCGACCAGGCATTGATATTATTTTTTTGTGATGTGTGAACTCCACCCTGAGACCATTTATCATGTTCTAGTGGCCAGAGCAGAGGTTTTTTGGGGAAATCAGTACCCACCCTGAATGCTCCTTCCTTGTTTTCTCCAGTCGATGACGATAGTTTGCCACAGTTTCATCCCTTTGTTGTATACAGTTTTGAGTATATGGCTGATTGGTTTTGGTCAGCTACTCAAAACTGTGAAGAGAAAAGGGGATAGAACTGAGGGATGCCTCCCAGTAGTTTCTCTCTTATTTCTTTCAGTCTTCAGAAGGGGTCAGGGATAGGCTGAGAAAAAAGGTCCCCGGAAATGGTGGTCCATTTGGTTTTTTTTAAACCAAAAGGCGGCATCTCCAGGTTCAACCAAGAGCTGGTTACATTGCTATAAGTCAGGGAGAGTATGACCCCAGGACAATTCTGAATTGTTCAGTAAATTTTCCTTTTCCTTTCCTTTCACGGGTGACGGCATATAAATCAGACCAAGACCGAAGTTTAAATTATGTCTCTTTCCTCAGTCTAGCTTGGGAACAGGGGCCTGCTGTACCCTGGCTTCATCTGTAGGAGATCAGGGCCCAATGAATCTTAAGGTTACAGGGAGTTGAGGGGCATTGAGGTTCAGTTGGCAGAGGACATTCTGGGAGAGAAGGATGCAGGAGAGAGCTGGGAGCAGGATATGGAATTGCTATGGGGTTTTCTGGGTTAAAAACATGTTTCTGAAGGCATGATGTAAAAGCCTCAGTGGTTTGAGTGAGGTATGAATTATTTCACTGTTTTTTGGCGTCTTCCTTAAATAAGCAGACCATCATGCATCTGAGAATTTTGTTCCTTTTTGTTCTGGGTGTCCCTTTAGGTGGATTAATTTGGGGATATCCGAGGAGCCCCAGAGGGCCATTGTAATTCAAGATCTTCAGTAAACTTCTGCCGCGGAGAAAGAACCCGGCCAGTATTGGGACCATCGTGGTGACGCAGGATTGGAGGAACAGGGGTTTCGGTTGACTGAGAAGTTCCTGTGAGAGAAACAGGCTCAAATAGAGAGAATAGAAAGATGTCGTGAGGAGCCAGGAAACAAAATTTTCCAGGGGTCAGGGAATGAATTCTAATCAGAACAAGGAGCCAGCAAGAACTTCCAGCCTAGGAGGTACTTTTCAAAAGAAGCCTGGGACTCTAACCCAGCTTCTGAGAGTATACTCAGAATTGTTAAGAATCAGGCAGGGCGCGGCGGCTCATGCCTGTAATCCCAGCACTTTGGGAGGCTGAGGCGGGTGGATCACTTGAGGTCCGGAGTGTGAGATCAGCCTGACTAACAAGATGAAACCCCATCTCTACTAAAAAAATACAAAATTAGCTGGGCGTCGTAGCGCATGCCTGTAATCCCAGCTACTTGGGAGGCTGAGGCAGGAGAATTGCTTGAACCCAGGAGGTGGAGGTTGCAGTGAGCCAAGATCGCGCCCTTGCACTCCAGCCTGGGCAACAAGAGTGAAACTCTGCCTCGGAGGGAAAAAAAAAAAAAAAGAATTGAAAGAATGAAAACCTGTCCTCAATGTGCCTGAATAAATGCTTGTTCAGACACTGGATGTGAAGTCCGATTCTCCACTGGATACCCAAACTGCAGGAGGTAGGTGGTTCCCATCTGGACCCGAGTTGCCTACCAGACCATTGTCAGAAACACAGCTGGACGTGAGTTAAAGTGGTGAAAAAACAGATTTTATTCAGTAACTACTGAAAGTAGGGAAGGAGCTGAGCTTATTCCGATTTCGGCAGAGGTGATTTGGGTGTTTTAAAGAAAGAATGAGGGAGACGGGAATAAAGGAGCTCCGAAGTGTCGGGGAAGTGAAAAAGTGCAAAGGGGAGCTTCCGGATAGCGAAGCACGTGGAGGTTCCTGGAGGGTGTCCTCCCAGAGAGGACGTGGAACCTTCCCGCTCCCACCGCGCACTTGCCCTGTGTATCTCTTCCCTTTGGCTGTTCATCTACATACGTGGTAGTTTCCTTTATAGTAAACTAATAAACGGAAATTTGCAGCAGCTGTGAAAAACTTCAATTTTCTGAATCCACTTTTGATTTTTAGTGGCGATTGCTTAAATGCCTCAGTTTTAAGTATCATAACGAAAGGAAAGCATACGATTCCTATATTAATGAATCGGAAGTACCTTTTGCAGTTTTTGTTTTGCTTTTTCAGACAAGGTCTTATTCTGTCATCCAGGCTGGAGTGCATTGGTGGGAACACAGCTCACTACCTACTCAGCCTCCTGAGCTCAAGCGATCCTCCCACCTCAGCCTCTCAAGTGGCTAGGACCACAGGCACCCACGCACTACACCGCCTAACTAATGTTTTGTTTTATATTATATTATTTTATTTTATAGAGACAGAGGTCTCACCATGTCGACCAGGCTAGTTTTGAACTCCTGGCCTCAAGCAATCCTCCTCCCACCTCAGCCTCCCAAAGTGCTAAAATGATAGGTGTGAGCCACTGCACCCGGTGATTTTGCAGTTTTTGGAAACCACAAGTTTGATTTCGGTGTGAATATTTTGGAAGAATCTATGAAACAAATGCACTTCATCTGATTTCTCAGTAATGTTGATGATAGATTTACTTCTGAACCTCTTGGACGTGTGTATGTTAGAAGTTCTCCACCCAATTGATACGGAATTAAATAGCTGTGAAATTACTGTAAGAAGAACCGAAGCAACGTTGGAAATTTGGTAACTAATGCCACGTTGGAAGCTATTCATGCCAATGTAGCATTGCTTCATACAGGTACTTCCAGATCTAATTGAATACATCCAGTGGGAAATTTCGCTTTGCGTGATTTTTTGGCTATCCTTCTCATAATGGACCCCAGTTTTAGTTGTCAGAGTAACACAGGCACAGCTGCTTGAAGGTCTTGAAAATGAGGTTAACAAATATTCAGCTTTTGGTGGGAGTTTTTCTCAAGTTGTTGGAATAGAATTTGGACTCAATTCAGATGCGGAACTGGGACACTGAATGATAGATAACAGATACTGTGAAAGTTCAAGGACCATACGAAAAAAATTTACCTTCTTGCTGCTATAAACAATATATTGCACATGGGAAAGATAGTTACGTTATGCCTGATAGTTGTTCTTGAATGTTTGACACAGAAACTGTACAAGTACCTTCCACAGTCATCATGAATCACTTTTAATCGATAAAAATTTTGTAGGGAAGGAAGCAGTGTCTTTCAGGCCATTGAATGAATTTGATTACTACTACGAACAAATCATCATTATTAACAGCCTTCGAGGAAGAATCAGATAAGCCATCAGCAGTAATTGCAGTACCTGGCATAGAAGGGTGAATTTGCCATATTTCTCAGCACATGAAAGAACATTTGTACCAACTTAGAGCCGGAGGGGAACAAGGTTTAAGAACTTTTCCCGTTATTAGTGGTAATGCATCTGAAAATTTTGATTCTGATTGAAATACTATATGGGTAATATATAATCAATGCCCAACTGAATGGAGAAAACCTACACTTTTTGCATTGTTAAGCACAGTAATATAATTTTGGCTCTTTGGCATTGTTCTAGAATTAATTTTAATTCTAGGGATATTGCTCTAAATGTGCTTCTTATCACTTTTGACTCTTCAGTGTGTTATCCAGGAAACAATATATATACACTTGTGAACTGTTGTTTGTGATTTAAGCATATATATTGAATAATGTTTCCAGATTAAATGACTTCCAAGCTCCAAAGAAAAGAGTACAAAGCATTGGTCAATATAAACGTGATTAGGTCAGCTGTGTCTGCTAGCAGGCAGTTATCTGAATTAGGGATCTATCCTCCCACAGAGAGTTGGAGACGGAGGCCTTATCCTTCTTGATGATTATATTTTGAAGGAATGGCTCTCAGATCCTTGAGAGAGATGCTCCTGAGTTACAATTGTGAGGACTTTTTGGTAAGTGCCCTAAGAAAGTGTGGTCAAGGAGCTATCATCAGATGTGTGCTGGCTAGAGCACATAGTAGATTTTCCTGGCAGCACTTAGCTTTCTCAGGCAGGCACTATTTAGGGGCCTGGGATCATTCTAGGGACACAGCCTTATGCTGCCAGAAGCCAGACTTGTTTGATCAGGTCTCAGTGCAGGGATTCGGATGGGGTTTTCATGTGCCAAGGGTTCTGCACTCTTCCTTCTCTGCTGCTTGGCACTGTGCATGGTGATCCGTACGGTAATCTACACAGCGTGGTGCTCCTCACCGCAATCTATGGGACAGCTCAGGGAGAACTCAGCTTTTCCAGCCCCCCAGTTTTAGGTTGAAAAATCATGGTAATACCCATTAAAAAACAACACAAGCAGTAGCCAGCAAGCAGCGAGGTGCCAACATTGGGGTGCCCTCTCAGGCAGTGGCTGCCGTCTGCTGGGGCCAGTTACTAAGAACTCTACAGACTCATTGTCTCCATGTGGTGTACACCACCTAGCTTGCTCGCTGTACTAACTGTTCTAAAAATATACCCTGGCCTTGTTTTTGAGCAGGTATAGTAAGGCACATACACCAGACATGCAAATGATCACCAGAAAGGAATACTGTTTTTTCTTTTTCTTTTCTTTTCTTTTTTTTTTTTTTTTTTTTTTTTTTTTGAGATGGAGTCTCGCTCTGTTGCCCAAGCTGGAGTGCAGTGGTGCAATCTAAGCTCCTAGCAACTTCTGCCTCCCGGATTCAAGCAATTCTCCCTGCCTCAGCCTCCCGAGTAGCTGGGATTACAGGCGCGTGCCGCACTCCCGGCTAATTTTTTAGTTTTAGTAGAGACGGGGTTTTGCCATGTTGGCCAGGCTGGTCTCAAACTCCTGACCTCGTGATCTGCCCGCCTCGGCCTCCCAAAGTGGTGGGATTACAGGCATGAGCTACCATGCCCGGCACATTTTTTATTATACCCACAATTCCCAAGACATGGGAGGCAGGCATACTACACAGGGCCACACAGGAAAGTGACAAATTGGGGTGAGGAAGTGTAGAGAGAGGGGAACTGCTGGCAGAGCCTTTATTATGATATTTTCAGGAAAGAATGGGCAAAACAAAGT
The DNA here is from genome assembly GCF_000001405.40 of Homo sapiens. NCBI lineage: Eukaryota > Metazoa > Chordata > Mammalia > Primates > Hominidae > Homo > Homo sapiens. Next base: position 381,208 of record NW_015495299.1, read on the forward strand.
AAGCAAGTGGTGCAAATTTAGGATTAGATAGTTTGCATGGTTTCAGCGAATTCTGAGTTATAGGGTGGGTCCCTGGTGGTCTAGTACCTGGCGCTATAGTAAATAGGACAGGGGATAGTGTCCCAGGCTGTAGAGTTCTGATAAAAGGAGATGGCTAGGGGTGGTGGACAGGTGATTCGTTGGTTTGCATAGCAAAGGCGTGCTGGCAGGCAAGCTGTTTGTTATCTCTGGGAATGAGTTAAACCTGAGAGAGGTGGTTTCCCAGGTCCGAAAGGCCCTAATTGCATCAATAATACAGAAAATAAGAACATACAGTTAATCCAATTTGACTTGTAGTGCTCTAGCATAACAACATTTTCTGGAGTCCTTACCATATCCTAATATTTGAACACTACCAATTAATTTTAAAAAATAGTATCTGTGGAATTCACAGCCTCTAAATTCTTCCTTATAGAGTTATTCTATTTGAATATAAATTGCTTTATTGTTGCAAGTTAACTGCTGAAAATGTCTGAGTTTAAATAGAACAGCTCAATAATATAGTTTTCTTTTTTTTTTCTTTTGAGACGGTGTTTTGCTCTTGTTGCCAAGGGTGGAGTGCAGTGGCGCGATCTCGGTTCACAGCAACCTCTGCCTCCCAGGTTCAAGCGATTCTCCTGCCTCAGCCTCTCGAGTAGCTGGGATTACAGGCATGCACCACCACGCCCGGCTAATTTTGTATTTTTAGTAGAGACGGGGTTTCTCCATGTTGGTCAGGCTGGTCTTGAACTCCCGACCTCAGGTGATTCGCCCGCCTCAGCCTCCCAAAGTACTGGGATTACAGGTGTGAGACACTGCGCTCGGCCAGTAATATCGTTTTCATATTGATGACCTCGTTGTCTAAAAGGCAATAGTAATTCTTTCTTTAAAGTTAAATCTCTAGAGGACATAAACTTTGGATGATTTTTGAATTTAAGAAAGAAACAAGTGTGACGTTCATAGCATTTTCAGCCCCAATTATCAACAGATGTTAAAAGCACTCTTTGAGGGCTACCGATTGTGTTTCTATTAGCAGGAAAAGAGAAAGGAGGAGAAAAAAACGTGTGAGTAAAAAACAAAGAGGAGCAATAGAGAAAGAAAAAAGAGAAAGGAGTAGAATATGGCAACAATTGGTAGAGAATTATTGGAAACAAACACCCCAGCTATGCCTGTATGAAGGAGGTGTATTACAAATGTTTCCATACAACGTAAAGTGGAAAAGACTAGAATGAAGGAAGAATACAATGTAAAGACTACAGCTGAGAAGTTAAAAATCACACTATGCATAATTTTAAATTCATGTGGGGGAAAATGTTATCATGATTTTATACTTGTAGTTTCTTACCCCTGCAACTCCTTTGCCCACATTTACTCCTGATAAGCAGAAGCAACTATTTTTAAAATTTTACTTTGAACTGGGTGTGGTGTGGCTCATACCTGTAATCCCAGTGCTTTGGAAGGCCGAGGTGGGAGGATCCTTTGAGGCCACGAGTTTGAGACCAGCCTTAGCCACATAGCAAGACCCCATCTCTAAAGAAAAAAAAAATCGGCCTGATGTGGTGGTGTGCACCTGTAGTCCCAACTACTTGGGAGTCTGAGGCAGGATGATCGCTTGAGCCCAGGTTGTAGGCTGCAGTGAATTACATGCCACTGCATTCCAGCCTGGTGACAGAGTGGGACTCGGTCTCTATTTAAAAAAATTATTTTGTCCTAGGTGGATCATCTGTATGTTTATATTAAAAAAGGCTTATATTGCTATTCAGTGATTTGCTGGCTGTAGACATTATATAATATATTAAATTCCTACATGACAGATGAGGAGTTATTAATAACTCATTTGCACGATTTCCCCTTGTACTCTTCTCCCCACACTTAGTTATACTGCCATTCCGCAACTGCCTACTGTATACTTCTGCAACTTAAAGCCATATACTTTAACATGCATTGTTTCTTTTTCTTTCTTTCTTTCTTTCTTTCTTTTTTTTTTTTTTTTTTTGACGGAGTCTTGCTCTGTCGCTCAGGCTGGAGTGCAGTGGCAAGATCTTGGCTCACTGCAGCCTCCGCCTCCACCTCCTGGGTTCAAGCGATTCTCCTGCCTCAGCCTCCCGAGTAGCTGGGATTACAGGTGCGTGCCACCAAGCCCGGCTAATTTTTTTGTATTTTTTAGTAGAGACGGGGTTTCACCATGTTGGTCAGGCTGGTCCCAAACTCCTGACCTCAAATGATCCGCCTGCCTCAGCCTCCCAAAGTGCTAGGATTACAGGCATGAGCTACCGCGCCCTCCCCTCCCCTCCCCTCCCCTTCCCTTCCTCCTTTCCTTTCTCTCTCTCTTTTTTCTTTCTTTCTTTCTTTCTTTTTTTTTTTTTTGACAGTCTCACTCTGTTGCCCAGGTTGGAGTGCAGTGATGCAATCTCAGATCACTGTAGCCTTGACCTCCTGGGCTCAAGCAATCCTCCCACCTCAGCCTCCTGAGTAACTGGGACTGTAGTCATGAGCGTCTGCACCCAGCCTGCCTTTTTTTTTTTTTCTTGAGACGGATTCTCACTCTGTCTTCAGGCTGGAGTGCAGGAGCACCATCTCGGCTCACTGCAACCTCTGCCTCCCAGGTTCAAGCAATTCTTCTGCCTTAGCCTCCCGAGTAGCTGGGACTACAGGCACACGCCACCACACCCAGCTAATTTTTGTATTTTTAGTAGAGAGGGGGTTTCACCGTGTTAGCCAGGATGGTCTCGATCTCTTGACCTCGTGATCCACCCGCCTTGGCCTCTCAAAGTTCTGGGATTACAGGCGTGAGCTACTGCGCCCGGCCTGCATTTTCTTCAACAACATTTTTGTTCCAACAACCAGGAAGATGAGGACATTTAACACTACCATCTTTCCCTCTACCTTGCAAATGAAACTTTTATCTGTTTTACAGGGAGGAATCAACATGACAAAATGAAGATATTTTCTGACCATTCACAGTAATTTAATTTGATTTTATTATTTATTTATTTTTTGGGATGGAGTCTTCACTCTGTCTTCCAGGTTGGAGTGCAGTGGTGTGATCTCGGCTGCCTGCAACCTCCACCTCCCGGGTTCAAACGATTCTCCTGCCTCAGCCTCCTGAGTAGCTGAGACTACAGGTGCAAGCCGCCATGCCCAGCCAAATTTTTATTTTTAGAAGAGATGGGGTTTCACCATGTTGGTCAAGCTTGTCTTGAACTCCTGAGCTCAAATGATCCGCCCGCCTCAGCCTCCCAACGTGCTGGGATTACAGGTGTGAGCCACGGTGCCCGGCCCACAATTATTTTAAAATAATGATTTGGATGGGGCATGTGCATGAATCCCTTTATGCTTAAAGAAAACATTTTACTTTTTAAAGACCTAACATGCCAGGCTTCGGGGTAAAAGCTTTATAATGACCTCACCTGACTGTAAATAGGTAGAATGAAGCACACAGTAATAGAATTTGGGAAAAGACATAGTCCACACTCTAAATTGGTGAAATCTCAATTCTTTTATGACCCAGCTATGAGATCTTGTTTTTTCCAAATAGCCTTTCCTTAAGACATTAGCCTAATATTAGCTTAAATGGCTTACAAAATGTAGACATTATTGGAGTGCTTTCTAGACACAAAAGAGCAGGTTTTGGTGTTCCTTAAAAGAAGGAAGCATGTGAAATAACACATACTCAGCACTTTTTTCTCCCTGGACCAAATATGTTGGGGGAGGAAATGAAGTACATACAAACCCAATCCTGATCTCTAAGGTCCTTTAAATATGTTTAGATGTGTAATGTGTTTAGATCTGTAATGGGTTAATAAAGAATTGAGGGGGAAATTACAACTTTTGGAGCTTAACCTTATAGATAACTAAGCTCTCCCACAAAACGTGCCCATTGCCAGTAGACGGAAATCTGGTTTGTGCGGACTGCTGATCTGATGCAGAATGGCACTCCCTTTGATGTTTTATGATAGTATCATGTTGGAAGAAAAATTTTGCCAACTAAACTATAACACAATTTCTTGTAATTTAGTGTTTTTCTTTTTTTCTTTTCTTTTTTCTCTTTGAGACAGGGTTTTACACTGTTGTCCAGGCTGGAATGCAGTGGTGCGATCACGGCTCGCTGCAGCCTCTACATCCCGGGCTCAGGTGATTCCCCCGCTTCAGCCTCCTGAGTAGCTGGGACTACAGGCATGCACCACCATGCCTGGCTGATTTTTTTGTAGTTTTTGTAGAGATGAGGTCTCGCTGTTTCCCAAGTTGGTCTTGAACTCCTGGGATCAAGCGATCCTCCCGCCTTAGCCTCCCAAATTGCTGGGACTACAGGTGCGAGCCACCATACCTGGCCTATTTTTATTTCATACTCAGTAAAAGAGCACTCTCAGACTTTGACACATTTATTATGCATTGATCTTGTGAATGCATAAAAAGAGACATATAAGTAAAATTGGTTTAGGTATTTCAGAAACTTCATATTCGGAACTCAACTTTCATTTTATTTATTTTTTTAATTAATTAATTTATTTATTTATTTTGAGACGAAGTCTCACTCTGTTACCCAGGCTGGAGTGCAGTGGCACGGTCTCAGCTCACTGCAACCTCCGCCTCCCAAGTTCAAGTGATTCTCCTGCCTCAGCCTCCCCAGTAGCTGGGATTACAGGCATGTACCACCATGCCTGGCTAATTTTTGTGTTTTTTTTTAGTAGAGATGGAGTTTCGCCATGTTGGCCAGGCTGGTCTCAAACTCCTGACCTCAGGTGATCCGCCCACCTCGCGCTCCCAAAGTGCTGGGATTACAGGCGTGAGCCACCGCGCCAAGCCCAGAGCTCAACTTTTATGAATCACTTTTTGAATCAGTTGTCCATGGCTGTAGCTTTCCACCAAAAGTGTTGGTGATGCATCTAACTTTAAGAATGCTCCAGCTGGGCACAGTTACAGCTCATATCTGTAATCTCAGCACTTTGGGAGGTGAATGTGGGAGGATCCCTTGAAGCCAGGAGTTCGAGACCAGCCTGGGCAAAAAAGTGAGAACCCCCATCTCTACAAAAAGTAAAAAAATTAGCCAGGCATGGTGGCACACGCCTGTGGTCCCAGCCACTTTGGAGACTAAGGCAAGAAGATCGCTTGAGCTTGGGAGGTCAAGGCTGCAGTGAGCCGTGTTTGCGCCACTGAACTCCAGCCTGGGTGACAGAAGGAGACCCTGTCTCAAAACAAAAACAAAAACAAAAACAAAAAACAGAGAGGGAGAGAAAGGAAGGAAGAATGCTGCACTATTGTATGCAGGATTTTCTTCCAAGCAGCTGATCTTATTCTGCAAGTTTTGATGCTGGCACCTTCTTGATCTCACCTGAATATGTCAATTTTGTGTTTTCACGCAAAACATTCAGGACTTGTTTTCCTCCTTCAATGGTGTTATTGAATAAAAGCTGTAGGGGTTGTAACTGACTAATCAGGCTATCAAGAATAATATCGAAGTTATTTCATTTTTGGGGGGTGCAAGTAGGCTTAGTATTTAACTGTTCATATATGGGTTCCCAAAATCCATCAAGAATGAATGTACTTGGTAAGTAACTCAGGGCTCCCAGAAGACTACTAGTTCTTAGCCAGTCCCATCTCTTTCTTTTCTAAATGCTGGGGAAATCTCTTTTTGGTCCTAGGAAAATCTTCTCCAGGCAAATCTTCCCTCTTTCCCTAGGAAAATCTCTCTCCAAGTTTGAGTGACTTTTGTCTGTTAATTCCCTTCCTCCTAGGGTTATGGGTTTTATTAAACAATGCACTTATCTCAGTTGAAATGAGGACAACCTGCACAGCAACATCCACGTTGTAATACGTGGAGGTAATGACAACCAGGTCTGTACTGCCACCCGGTCAACGAGAGTTTATAAGATGCATCTTGATTTCACAGATGTTAAAATGTGGGGAAAAACATGGCTTAGCATCTGTGAAATACATAATGTCATGGTGCTTCGATCAATGTATAGTGGATTTTCTATAATTCCAAAGTTGGGATGTGGAAAAAACTTGCCTTAAAAGAAATCCGTACTTTTTGGTATGTTAAATCTAAGGGAGGTTATAAATCGAACAGTTGCAGGAGCCCAACTTTAAAGTGAGAGAAAGATGTAGTGGGGGAAGAAGGAGCTGAGAAATACAGAAAGAATAAAAACAATGGACGCAAAAGCAATAGGCAAGTTTTTTTGTTGTTGTTCTTTAAAGGGACAAAATCACAAGCTTACTAAAAAGGGTAACGACAATTACAGCTACAGCCAAAGAGCAAAGTAGCTCATTTTAAGATTATTTTTACATTAGACATAAGCTTTGCAACAGGGCCTCTCTCCATTTTAGTAAAATTGGTTTAGGTGTTTCAGAACCTTCTTATCGCAGATTATAATTTCATATTCAGTAGTGTGATTCATTTAGGTTTGTGATCTCCGTTACACTTAAACTGTTTTTGCTCACAACTATATTCGTAATGGGGTAGCGCAGTGAATATAATTGCATGACCTAATGTTGTTTGTTAATATTTGTAACCCTTTAATGTGCAGGATAGATCTTTGAATACCTAACTTCCTTAAGCCTCAGTTTTCTCAATTTGTCAAAGGGGGACAATAATAGGATTCATTCAGAGTTACTCTGAAATGAAATGCAATAATGTATAGAAACCTTAAACGGTGCCTAGCACAGAGCAAGCGCTCATTGAACAGCAGCTTTTGTGAGATGCACCTCACTATGAAATAGGCATGGAAACGGAAACGACTAGCTCTCTTAGCCCCGTTTTCTTTTCTACATTCATACGTTGCTTTGAATTGGCAAGCAGTTTTTATTTGGACCCTCAAACGCTAAAACCTTGGTCTCTACTTCGCGTCCCAACTGTGCTTATGAGTCTAGTCATTTTTGTTGGAACGCGATAGATTTCCCAAGCTCCGGAGTGGGGCCCTGACCAGGGAGGAAGTGTCCGCTTTAAGAGCTTCTGGAGGGGAGGAAGGGGCTCCTCCGCCCGGGTGGGAGAGTGAGTGAGTGGGTGGGCGGGCAGGGGGCGGTCCCGCCGCTCCTGCGTCAGAAGGGGTCTGGTTTTCGCACCTTCCCTGACGTCAAACCTCCATCAGGGTTGCAACGCCACGTTGCCTTGGATGCCTGCGTGAGTGGAGTCGCGACTCGGGGCCCGCGTCCTGAGAGACGCGCTCCCGCGCCGCTTCTCGCCTCCGGACCGCAGGGGCCGAAGTCGCCTATTTCTGGCTCCGCGGGCAGCGGGGCCGTGGCGCTCGGACGGTCTGGGATTCGGGCGCCGCCGCGGAACCGGAATAAGAAGGGAGAGCGCCCGGCTCGGTCCTCGGTCTCCACCGCGGCCCGGAAGGAATCCGGGCAGCCTCCGCGGAGGTGAGTGCCGCGGCGGGGGCGGGGCGCGGCCGGGGCGACGCCCGCGGGCGGGGCCTGCTCGCCGGGCGCCCGGGGCGCCTTCTTCCCGAGGGACGCCAGGACCGCTCGCTGGGCTCCCGCGGCCGCCTCGCAGGTCCTCGGCTTCCCCCCACCCCGCGTCCCTTTCTGCCCCTGCTGCGTGAGAGGTGTCGGCGGCTCCGGGCCGGGATCGAGGTGGCGGGGCGAGGGAAGGAGGTGGGGCGCAGGCTGCATTGCGCTTCTGTCCGGGGCCCTGGGTCAGAGGGGCCGGCGGACGAGGCCTCGGGTCCGGGCTTGGGGAGGGGGCGGTCTGCGGGGTCGGATTGAGGGCCGGGAACCCGCGGAGTCTTGCCCCTGGGCACCTGTGGGGCCGAGATCCCGAGCCACCTGTCCACACACCCCCTTCCCCCAGTGCCCTGCGTTGGGTCCAGCTGGCCCCAGACCTAGGCCTTTCCCAGCCTCGGGCGATTATAGTTTATTTGAAAACGTTTGATTTTTGTGTTAATGATTCTTTTACTACCGCCGTGCAACAGTTGTGTAAATGTGGTCGTGTTACGCCATCGTTTTTACTTGCTCCTAAGAAGGGCCTTACCAGCTCCTGCGATTATCTCACGCGATGATTCTTGGTAGCTCGTGAAAAAAATGCATAACAAGATACTGGTTCTCAAGGGACCAAAACCCCACCCCCACCTAAAGGAAATAGCTTGTTTTTGTTTTTCTTTTTTACAGCAATATGCTACGTGTGGGGAGGGGGAGGGACGATGGAGGCAGCCTGTAGCGATCTCATCCTCGAGAGAATCTGCTAACAATTTGGGGGGTATCTTTCCTTCCTTTTTAATTAATACACAAACATATATACGTGTGTTACATAAGGGGTGTTTATTTGCTTTTTTCACTTAATACGTGGAAGACCTTTTCTCTATCGTTTGAACCTAAAGCCTAGAAGGCAAGAAAGCAACTCGTTAGAGAGTTGATAAAGTATCACTGCAGTGGCCAGTGATTTGGATAGAAATAAGCTGAATTCAGGGTAAGAACTGGTTTCTATAAAATATGGTTTACTCTGCATAATAATTGGAGGCAGTGTTTTTTCAAACTGAGTTTTTTCAGCCGGTTCGTGAATGGTGAAATTAATTTAGTCATGACTAGCATTTAAAAAAAAATAAGATCGCATAAAAAAATCAGAATGCATTATATGTAATGAGAGTATTGTTTTGTGAAAAATATTTTAACTGTGCGCGTGTGCATTGTGAAATTTAGTGGGTCGTGACTAGCATTAAAAAAAGTAAGATCGCATAGAAAATATCAGACTGCATTACATGTAATGAGAGTATTGTTTTGTGAAAAATCTTTTAAGTGTGCGTATGTGCCTGTGCGTGTGTGCTCGGTTGTAATTAAAAATTTATTGGTTCCTGTGTGTCATGTTAAATAATCTTGAGAGTCGCTAATCCAAGGTACTGTCAGCACTCAAATGAGCAAGATGCAATTAAACTAGACATTAGTTTTATTTTTTCTTTGGAATAGTGGTGATGTTGATTGCAGCAAATAAGAGTCCTAATTATTTGTTTTCACCTAATATTAAAACAAGTAGTATTCCTAAAAATACAGAGAGGAAGTGTCTAAGTCGTTAAGAGGTTAAAGCATAAACTACTCAAATTGACCAGTGATCACATCTCAGTTACGCTGGTTATTGGTGTGAGACCTGCAACAAGATACCTCTTTTCTCTCAACCTCAGTTCCCTGATTTGTTAAATGGGAATTAATCATGGCAGCTACCTTATAAAGCTGTTTGTTATTTAGATGAGATAATGCACAGGAAGCTGTTGACAGAGCGCCTGGCTCAGATTAAGTACTAAGTATTAGCTATTATTATTTTATTAAGACTGAATAGAGGTGTCTAGGATAATGCTTGTCACCAGAGGAAAGCCAGCATAGCGTGGATAATCCAGAAAAGGGGAAAATTGAAAATTAGTAGTGTTGTGTGGAGGAACTGACACTGAATTAGTGTGGTCTTTTTATGCATTCGGCCATTGTTTTGTCATTGCTCCTCAATTGTTTCCCTACTGCTGGACGGAAAATTTAGATTGTCTTATTCAGAAAACCAAATGCCTTTCTATTGTCTTTCCTTATTATTATTATTTTTCAAATTAAGTTGATGTCTCTTTTGTCAGGCAGTTGAAAAATATGTTTTATGAGGATTGTGGGTTTTGTTAGTTCTTACCACACTGCCACGCCACACTCAGTTTGAGAAATACACACACGACAACTCCAGACTCATTTCAGAAATATTTTTATCCATGTTTACCTCTGCAGCTGGTGCAGATCTCAGGTGTGCAAGAAATATTTCTTTAAAAAAAAAAAAACCAAAAACAAAATGCTGTTTTATTTGTATTTTAAGACATTTCTGCCTAAGTCATCTGGGTAGCTCAGAAATCTCTGTTCACTGCCTGGGATAGGTTTATGCAATTTTAAATGTTACATAAATGAATGAAATAAGAAGGTGAACATAGTCATTTTTTAAAAATAGCATTATTATTTTTATGAAAAATAAATAGAATGCTTTGGATTCATAAAAAGGCTATATTTGCAAAGTACTTAACTGGGTATGACATTGGGGAAAAATGTTTAACATTGATGATAATTCTGCTCTCAGATTTGAAACTGCCTTCAGATTTTTGTTCTGCTTTAGAGGAACAAAAATGGAAACTCGGGTGAATTACGATGTTGTTTGTGAAAAGACATGTCTCGAAACTCTAGCTAATCTGTCCAAAAAAAAAAAAAAAAGCAACAGTCCCCATACTAAAAATACCAATGAAACAAAAAAGCCCCATTTGATCTTAAACATATATACATTTAGAAGTTTTAAGTTAAATATTAAGGTTATGTGTGCATTTAAAAAATTATCTTACTGATTGACTTTAAGAAGTTAACCCACCAACTACTGGTTCTTGTCTTGACAGGGCTTTTATCTACACTGACAAAATGAAATACTATGCAATCATTAAACATTCTATTTTATTTTACTCTATTTTCTCCTATTTTATGATAGCATTTTATAATGGTATATGAAGGTGCTCATTATATGTGGTTCAGTGAGAGAGGGTGGCTATAGAATAGAATGTACTGTACCTTCCCATTTTTGTAAAAATATGTTTAGAACAAAGACGAATACGATACATGTTAATGGTGGGTAGATTATGGCTGATTTTTATGCTCTTTATTTTTATAATTGTACTATTATAAATGCTTTACTTTTGTAATAAAAATTAATAAAAGTCATTTTTTAAAGAAAAATTAAATGTGTATTTTCTTATTTTGTAAGCATACATGACTATGCTTTAAGGGATACTGACTCTTAACTTGGAGATTTCGGGAATTAAGTAATTCTCCAGTATTTTAGGAAATGGTGCTGAGTAGTTAATAGTTATATCCCTTACGCTTTGAAAAGCTCCTTTGAGTAGGAGAGAATCATTTTTCCAGAATTTTCTTAAAGCACCCTCAAGAATACCTCTTTCCAAAAAAACTTCCACAGTGCCTAAAGATACGGTCTAAATTCTTTAGTATGCTTTTGAATACTACCATGTCAAAATCCAATCTACTTGCCCTGGTTTATTGCCCCTTAAATTCTCAAATGAAACCTTAGATTCAGCTGAATTTATTAATTTACTATCTCCAAATGTACTTTGTATTTTCTTACTTTCGTACCTTTGCTTGTTGTATCATTTCCCAACCTTTGAGTGAGTAAATCCTACCCATTTTCCAGTATCTGGTTAAAAAACCGTATCCACAGTGGCATCCCTCGCCGCTCTAGCTAAAACTGAACTTTGCGTTGAACTCATTAGCATTTATTATTTTTGCTGAGGCATTTCTTAGGCAGCACCTCATTCTTTGGCTTTAATTTCCCAATTTCATTTTAAATTTTTTGAGGGTAAGAAAACTTGTCTCATATTTGTCTCTATCCCTTAAAGTTTCTAGCATGGAACTCTGTGCTGAGTGGGTGCTTAATAGTTATTCTTTGATTATACCGTGGTGTCACTGGCTCTCTTGAGCCTATGTGTTGGAATTTTTTCTTAACCAGTGATCCTGGATAAGGAGCAGCACTTTGCCTACAACAATGCGGAGGAATAAAAAACATGCTTCTGCTTAATAGTGTATTGATATAGATAGGTGTTAAAAGAATTGACAGTATTTTTCATTAAAGCTAACGTGGTACCTGAGCCTCGGGAAGTTTCTCATGAAGCTCATTTTGGGTTTGACAGCATTTTTGCTCTCAACTTTACCAGAGGCACAATTGAGCCTTATAGTCTTTTACAGCTACTGTTCCAGGAACCTAGAGACCTGCAGTGTTTGATGGTGGGTTAGATGGGCCATCACAGTCACTGCGCCAGAACTTTAGGAGGTCATGTGTGAGATTCAGTGAGTCATAGTATGTAAAGTGCTTTGTACTCCAAAGTTAATATTTTTTCTTATATTATTGGAAACATGTCACCGTTCACAATATATCTGGATGTATTTATTTGGTCAATGGTAGACACTTATGGGACCTCTTCTAAAAAATGATTTTATTTTAATTTACAGATACTTGCCAGAACTAATACAGCTGATGAAATACCTGACCTTTTCTGCTCCAGGTAAATAATTTTTTACTTTATAAAAATATCAGGTTCTAGGAGAATTCAGAGTTTGTATAAAAATACCTATTTAGGCATGCAAAGTAATATAAATCCAGACCCTAAAGAAATGATCCCTTTAATAAATAAGTTTTATTAGTTTATAAAAAATAATGACTTATGTTATTGAGTCAACTTACAGCAGAATCACCTTGAGCATTTTATTTTATTCTATTTTATTTTATTTTTTCGAGACAAAGCCTCGCTCTGTCACCCAGGCTGGAGTGCAGTGGTGTGACCTCGGCATGCTGCAGCCTCCACCTCCTGGGTTCAAACGATTCTATTGCCTCAGCCTCCCGAGTAGCTGGGACTATAGGCATCTGCCACCACACCCAGCTAGTTTTTGTATTTTTAGTAGTGACAGGTTTTTGCCATGTTGGCCAGGCTGTTCTCAAACTCCTAACCGCAGGCGATCCACCTGCCTCGGCCTCCCAAAGTGCTGGGATTACAGGCATGAGCCACCATGCCCAGCTGCCTTGAGCATTTTAAATATGCTTTATAACGTATGTCCTGGGTTCCCTTGACCACTGGGATTTTGATTTGCTAAGTTTCTGATGGGGTCCTGGCATGTTAATTTTTAAAAATGCCAACACATGCTTCTGGTTTATTGTAACTCACTGTCATTAAGGCACTAGAGATGACGGAAGTGGCAGGTGATAATGCCACAGGAGTTAAGGGCCATAGGGTTAAAGACCAAAAATATTTAAGTATTTACATTTTGTGTGTATGTGATATTAGATTAATGGTTTACTTTTGTCCTTTATTCAATGAATGTTTTAATTATATTTTCAATCCCCCAAAAGTTTATTTTAGGATTTTTCAAAGTTTACATTTAAGCTCTAGGTTCTCTCAGCTTGAAATTTGCCTTATGTGTAAGTACAATTTAAAATAAAAGTTTGTTCTGTTTTATTGCTGTAGGTTAATAAGTGAAGTAAATTAGTGGAAAAGAGACCAAATTTTAAGTAAGTAATGTCTTACATGTTTTTTGTGTCAGAGGCTGGTTTAATTGATTAATTTTCCTCATAAATGTGAGAAGTCAGAAAATCAATTTCTCATAATAAGAAGTAATAGGTAAGTAAATATTATGCTAGCATTTTGACTTAATGAAGCTTTTTTCCCCTCATCTTATGGTTTTAAGGCTGTGATTTCATTTTTCAGTTATTGATTTTAATGATTAAATTTTTTCCATTGCAGAAATTCTCATAACATGTTATAGAATGATTGTTATATATTTTCCAACAGATAAGAATGCTTAAATTAATTGAAATACAAAATTATTTGTAATTCTGTTTTCGGCTTAACAAAGCAGCAAATAAACTGCATTAAATTTTTTACTTAAAATAATCATAAATTATATGTACATTGTGTCAGTTAATACATTGGTAGGGCATGAAAATTACTGGGGGAATTTTAAAAATTCTGAATCCTAGGCTCACCCTAGCTCTACTAAAATTTTGGGTATTCAGCCTGGTTTGGGAACCATGCAGTATGTAATGTTGAAGGATTATACTTTTAGGTGAGTGGAAACTGGAAAACTATTTATTTGTAGAGAAATCTAAACAGTAATAGGAAAAAAATCCCTCCTATTTATCTGGCTTACATAATTGTCAGAAGAAAAGTGTTTTGTGTTTCAGAGGCTAAATTAGTTGTTCTGATTTTTAGCAACTGTGTTGGATAAATTATTTAAAAACCTGCCTCTCTATGAGCTGAGCAGAAAATGCCATGTGGTGTCTTTACACTCATGATAACAGAGAATGAGACGTTGTCAAATAATCTGGGGTTTGATATGGAAACATGATGGGGAAATTAATGAGCTCCATTAGAGTATAGTAAATATACCATAACAATATCTTAGAAGTAATTGGTCTTCGCAAATTGAATATTGTATTCTTTGTTACTAAATCAATATCTAATATCTCTAATAAGTTATTAGAAAAACTAAATATTCAGTCATCTAGTCTTCAAACATTGGCAACAAACTGCTCTTTCATAAGATACATAGTTCTTGTCTCTGCTCCAGGTTCACTTATTTATTCAGTGGCTCATGGCAGCCTTGTATATTTTCCTAATTATTAGAAGTGAATTTCTGTTTTCTGCTAATTATCATAGCCATTTTCCTCATAAGAGTAAGGAATTATGATTTTTACCATTTTTCTTTTTGTTTTTCAGCTTGAGTATTCAAAGACAGTAGCCATCTGACTTCAGTTATTTATTCAAGATGCAGAAAAGACAAGGATATTGCAGTTATTGCCGTGTGCAGTATAATAACCTGGAACAGGTGAGCGGTTTCTATTAATATGATAATATCTCAAAGGACCTAGTTGTGACTTTCTCTTACATTTTATTAAATTAATTTATTTATTCATTGAACAGATCATATTGGGAATCTATTAGTTGGCAGACACTGTTTAAGGTTCTAGGGATATGACCATGAACAAAAACCAAGCCTCTTTTTTCATGAAGCTTATATTCTAGTATAGTAAGACAGAAGATAAATAATATATAAATTTAGTACATAATGCGTGAGATTGTGATAAATGTTATGAGGAAAACAAAATAGGGAAGGGGTAGGGTGGCCAGGTAAGGCCTTTTTAAGGAAGTGACATTGAGTTGAGATTTGGAGTTTGGGTCTCAGGTTTGCATTTATCTGGGGAAAGATTTTCTAGGTAGAGGGAAGAGACAGAGACCCTGAGGGTACAGAGTGGTTGGCACACTAACGAAGAGCCAGGAGGCCGGTGGCTGCATGGATGTGGGGAGGTGGGTGAGAAGTAATAGGCAAAGAATTCAGACAAATCAATTCTGTATTTTAGATTCAGGGGGTATATGGGCTTGTTTGTTACATGGGTATATTGCATACCTGCTGGGGATTGGGCTTCTAGTATACCCATTACCCAAATCGGAGAAGTCGATTCTTTAAGACATTGTAGGCTAAGGTAAGGACTTTGAATTTTATTTCAAGTGAGATGGGAGAGCATCTCAAAGTTTGAGCATAGGAGTTAAATCGTCTACTTTGTGTTTTAAAAGGTTCATTCTGGCTGCTGAGGGAAAAATAGTTGGTATAGAGATTTAAAAATTTTGTTATTGTGATATAACTCATACACCATAAACTTGACCCTTTAAGGTGTATAATTCAGTGATGTTTTATTATGTTCACAAAGTGGTACAACCATTGTCTAATTCCAGAACATTTTAATCACCCTAAAAGGAAACCCTGTACGCACTGAGCAGTAACTCACTCCTCCCTTCTGTCACCAGCCCCTGGCAACCGCTAGTGTATTTCCTGTCTGTATAGATTTGCTTATTCTGGATATTGCGTGTAAATGGAATCAAACGTTGTGTGGCCTTTTGTGTCTGGCTTCTTTAATGTAGCGTAATATTTTCACGGTTCATCCAGGCTGTAACATGCATCACGACCTCGTTCCTTTTTATGGCTGACAATGTTCCATTGCATGGATATATCACATTTTGTTTATTCATTGAGCAATTTATGGATATTTGGGTTGTTTTTACTTTTTGACTGTTATGAATAGTGCTGCTATGGATATATGTGTACAAGTTTTTGTGTGGACGTATGCTTTCACTTTTCTTAGGTTTACATGTAGAGTGGAATTGTTGGGTCATGTGGTAATTGTGTTTAACTTTTTTGAGAGGGTGCCTCACCGTTTGTCAAAGTGGCTGTACCTTACCACCAGCAATGTATGAGGGTTCCAGTTTCTCCACGTTCTTGTCAGCACTTGTTGTTGTCTGTTTTGTTTTTTGTTGTTGTTGTTGTTGTTGTTATAGCCATCTTTGTGGATGTGAGATGGTATCTCATTTTGGCTTTGATTTGCATTTCCCTAATGACATATAGTGTCTTTTCATTGGGCATTTGTATATCTTGTTTAGAGGAATGCCTCTTCATATCCTTTTCCTATTTTTAATTGTGTTGTCTTTTTATTGTTGAGTTGTAGAAGTCTTTATATATTTTGGATAATTGACCTTTATCAGATGTATGATTTACAAATACTTTCTCCATTCTGTGGGTTGTCTTATTACTTACTCTTTTTTTTTGAGACAGGGTCTTGCATTATTGCCCAGGCTGGAGGGCAGTAGTGCGATCATGGCACACTGTAGCCTCTGCCTCCTGGGCTCAAGCAGTTCTCCTGCCTCAGCCTCCCAAGTACCTGGGACTACTGGTGTGCACCACCGTACCCAGCTAATATTTTATTTTTTGTAGAGATGGGGTCTCACTATATTTCCCAGGCTGGTCTCAAACTCCTGGGCCCAAGTGATTCTCCTGCTTTGGCCCCTGAAAATTTTGGGATTACAGGTGTGAGCCACCACAACTGGCCTTCTTTTTACTTTCATGATGCTATGTTTTGATGCACAAAAGTTTTAAATTTTGCTGTTTTGCTTATGTTTTTTGGTGTCAGAAGGGTTGCCTAATCTCAGGATGGAAGATTTATGCCTATGTTTTCTTCTAAGAGTTTTACAGTTACTCTTACATTTAGGTCTTTTATCTGTTTGAGTTCATTTTTGTATAGGGTGTGAGATAGGGCTATACTTTTTTTTTTGAGTCTGTAAAATTAAATCTGTTTCATAGAAATCATGTTAAAATTCATGCGCATCAGAGCTCTCCCTGTGCTACCCATAGTGGATGTATGTATGTATGTATGTATTTATATTGATTTGTTTACTTTTATTATTTTTATAATTATACATATGTATGGGGTACAGTGTGATATTTTGATACATGTGTATAATGTGTAATAATCAAATTGGTAATTAGCATACTCATCACCTCAAACTTTTATCATTTCTTTGTGTTGGAAACATTTAAAATCCTCTCTTCAACTGTTTGGAAATTTACAATCAATTATTATTAACTATAGTCATCCTACAGTGTTGTATAGGACTTTAGAACAACTAGAACATATTTCTCCTATCTAGCTTTAATTTTGTATTCATTAATTATCCTCTCCCAATTTCTCTTCCCTGACTTCTTCCCAGCTTCTAGTAATCAGCATTCTATTCTCTAGTTTTACGAGCACAACTTTGATGACAAGATTTTCTTCTTTTATGGCTGAATCGTATTCTACTGTGTATATATACCACATTTCCTTTTTGTGTGTGTGTGAGATGGAGTCTTGCTCTGTCACCTAGGCTGGAGTGCAGTGGCATGATCTTGGCTCACTGCAACCTTCGCCTCTTGGGTTCAAGCAATTCTCCTGCCTCAGCTTCCCGAGTAGCTGGGATTACAAGAGTGCACCAACACACCTGGCTGATTTTTGTATTTTTAGTAGAGATGGGGTTTCACCATGTTGGCCAGGCTGGTCTCGAACTCCTGACCTCAGGTGATCCACCTGCCTCAGCCTCCCAAAGTGTTGGGATTACAGGCGTGAGCCACTGCGCCTGGCCCCTTTTTTCTTTTATCTGTTGATGGACACTTAGATTGATTCTATATCTTAGCTATTGTGAACAGTGCTGTAGTAATAAACATGGGGATGCAGATATCTCCTTGATATACTGATTTCCTTTCCTTTGGATAAATACCTAATCAGTAGGATTGCTGGACCATATGGTAGTTATATTTTTAGGTTTTTGAGAACATTTATACTCTTTTCCATAATGACTATAATAATTTGTATTCCCACCAACAGTGTGTAAGAATTCCCTTCTCTGCATCCTTGCCAGTGTGTTATTTTTTGTCTTTTCGATAATAGCTATTCTAATTGAAGTGAGATGATATCTCATTGTGGTTTTGATTTACACTTCCTTGATGATTAGTGATGTTGAACATTTTTTAATATACTTGTTGGCCATTTATATGACTTTTTGAGAGATGTCTTTTCAGCTTATTTGCCCATTTTTAAGTTGGATTATTTCCTTTTGTTGTCATTGAGTTGTTTGAGTATTCCATATTCCAGGTATTAATCATCTTTTGGATGAATGGTTTGCAAATATTTTCTCCCATTCTTCAGTCTGTTGAAGTCTCTCTTCACTCTGTTGATTGTCCTTTGCTGTGCAAAAGCTTCAGTTTGATATTATCCAGTTTGTCTATTTTTGCTTTGTTCCCTGTCCTTTCGAGGTCTTTTCCGTAAAATCTTTGCCCAGACCACTGTCCCAAAGCATTTCCCCTGTGTTTTCGTCTAGTAGTGTCATAGTTTTGGGGCTTACATATATGTCTTTAATACATTTTGAGTTGATTTTTGTGTATGGTGAGAGATAGGGGTCTAGTTTCACTTTTCTGCATATAGATATCCAGTTTTCTCAGCTTCATTTATTAAAGAAGCTGTTCTTTCCCCCAACTTATGGTATTGGTGCCTTTGTCAAAAATCAGTTGGCTGCAAATACATAGATTTATTTCTGGGTTTTCTGTTTTGTTTCATATCTGTACATTTTCAGAAGTTCCTCTTGTTACTGATTTCTAGTTTATGCTATTGTGGTCAGAAAAGATACTTGATATAATTTCAATTCTTTTGTATTTGGAGACCTCTTTGTGGCCTAATATGTGGCCTATCCTGGAAAATGTTGCATGTGCTGATGAAGCAAATGTGTATTCTGTAGCTGTTGGTTGAAATCTTCTGTAAATATCTGGTAGGCCTATTTGGTCTAAAATGCAGTTTAAATCAAGTGTTTCTTTGCTGATTTTCTATCTAGATGATCTGTCCAATTCTGAGAGTGTGATAATCAAGTCCTCAGCCAGTCTAATAGTATTTGCTTTATTTATCTAGGTGCTCTGGTATTGAGTACATATATATTTATAGTTGTTTTATCTTCTTGCTGAGTTGATCCCTTTATCATTATATGATGGCCCTCTTTGTCTCTTTTTACAGTTTTTGACTTAAAGTCTGTTTTATCTATCATAAATGTAGCTACTCCTCCTCACTTTTGGTTTCCAGTGCATGGAATATCTTTTTCCATCCCTTTGCTTTCAGTCTATATGTGTCTTAAAAAAAAAAAAATAAAAGAGATGGAGTCTTACCATGTTGTCCTTGCTGGCCTTGAATTCTGTGCTCAAGATATCCTTCTGCCTCAGCCTCGTTAGTAGCAGGGACTACAGGTGCATGCCATTGTTCCCAGCCATCTATATGTGTCTTTACAGGTGAAGTTAGTTTCTTGTAGGCGGTGTATTGTTAGGTCATGATTTTTAAAATCGATTCAGCCCAACTGTATCTTTTAAGTGGGGAATTTAATCCATTTAAATTCAAAATGATTATTGATATGCGAGGAATTGCTTCTGTTATTTTGTTAATTGCTTTCCGGTTGTTTTATGTGTGCTTTATTTTTTCTTTCTGTCTTATCGTTGCAGTTTGGTGGTTTTCTGTAGTAAGTAGGTAGTAGATCCCTCTTGGTGTTAGGTCTGACATGGCCTATAAGCAGCTTTAGTAGCACTGTGTTCCAGTTGCAGGTGCTTGGAGTGGCTGTGGGACCAGGGTCCTAGGCTCATAGGCTTATGAACCTATTGTTGCACCTGGATCTTGGGGTACAGATTTGCTCTTTGGTGGGGTTGGATGTCTTTTCTCTTTCTCCTTTGCATGTCTGTTCTACCAGTGAGTTTTTATACTTTTGGATGTTTTTGTGAAAGTAACTATTGTCTTTTTTGCTTGCCAGATGTAGGACTCCTTTGAGCATTTCTTGTGAGCCTGGCCTAGCGGTGATGAATTCCTTCAGTTTTTGTTTCTCTGGGAAAGACTTGATTTTTCTCTCATGTCTGAAGGATAGCTTTGCTGGGTATAGTATTGTTTGGCTGTTGGAGTAGTTTTAGCACTTTCAATATATCATCCCATTCTTTGCTGGCCTGTAAAGTTTCTGCAGAGAAAGCTGCTGTTAGTCTAACGATGATTCCCTTATATGTGACTTGATGCTTTTGCTGTTT
Source organism: Homo sapiens (assembly GCF_000001405.40). Taxonomy (NCBI): domain Eukaryota; kingdom Metazoa; phylum Chordata; class Mammalia; order Primates; family Hominidae; genus Homo; species Homo sapiens. The sequence goes on from NW_015495299.1 coordinate 401,128, forward strand.
TTCAGATTCCATCTTTGGTCTTTGACCTTTGACAGTTTATAATGTGCCTCAAGGAGGACCTTTTTGGGTTGAATGTATTTGGGATTCTTTGAGGTTCTCATATCTGGATATCCATAGACTTGGGAAGTTTTTGGCTATTATTTCATTAAATAGGTTTTCTATGCCTTTCTTCTTGTCTTCCCCATCTGGATTCCTATAACACAAATATTTGTTCACTCAGTGGTGTCCCATAAGTCTTGTAGGTTTTTTTCACCTCTTTTTCATTATTTCTTTTTTTCCCTGTGACTGGGTAATTTCAAATGACTGATCTAAAAATTCAGAGATTTCTTTCTTCAATTTTATCAAATCTGCTATTGAATCTCTGTATTGTATTTTTTATTTTGTTCATGGAATTCTTTAGCTGTAGGATTTCTGTTTGGTTCTTTTTTATGATTTTTATCTGTGTTGAATTTTTGTTCATATTGTGAATGGTTTTTCTGATTTTGTTGAATTGTCTATATATATTTTCTTGTCTCTCATTGAGTTTCCTTAAGATCTTTATTTTGAATTCTTTTTCAGAAATTAGTTTATTTTCATTGGGTTATTTTTATGAGGAAGTTATGTTCCTTTGGTGATGTTATATTTCTTTGCTTTTTTATGTTTCTTATGTCCCTGCATTGATGTCTCTGCATCTGGTGGAACAGTTACTTCTTCCATACTTTCTGGAGTGGCTTTCATATTGAATAACTTTTATAACTTTTACCTGCAGTTGGGCTTTAATGTTCTAGTTGGGAGAGTGTGGTTACTCTGTTGCTAGATAGATGCAGTGGTATATAGTCTTCATTCAGTTTCTTCAGCTGTGTTCACCATCAGCAATAACTGTGGGCACTTCAGTGGCCTACACTGTAGAAGTTTGTGGCAGTGGCAGCAGCATAGGCTGTGAATGTCCTTGATGTCAAGGGCTTCTGGGATCCACCTGTTCTTGTTTTCATTACGATGGGGAGACTTAACTGAGTAGATCCCTCTTGGTGTTAGGTGTGACGTGGCCTATAAGCAAGCAGCTTTAGTAGCACTGTGTTCCGGTTGCAGGTGCTTGGAGTGGTTGTGGGACCAGGGTCCTAGGCTCATAGGCTTATGAACCTATTGTTGCACTTGGATCTTGGGGTACAGATTTGCTCTTTGGTGGGGTTGGATGTAGGTTGCCCACAGAGCCAGGACCTGTAACTTTTAGGCACCCCCTAGTAGCTGGGGCCCAGGGCATCAGGTCGTAGCTGAGATTCTACCCCTGAAGGGCAGGGCACAGCACTGACCTGACTCCAGGGAAAAATAGTTGCTCTGGAGGTTTGATCCTGGGGAGCAGGGTGTGGCTGCAGTTCAGAGCTCAGTGGCAACTTAGGTCTCAGGGGATGAGGCATTGTGTAGTAGTGACTCTAGACACTGGGATGGTGGGACTCAGCAGCAGCAGATACACAGCTGTTGTTTAGACCCAGGGTAGGGCAGGGAACAGTACAACAATGACTCCATTCCCCAGGTAAATGAATGTCTCAGCAGCTCAGACTCTAGGGGTCTAGTCTGGTCTAGGAAAGCAGAGTACTAGAGTTGTTTGGCTAGTAGGATGAGGTGTCTAAGCGTAGCCACTGCTCTGTTTCCCTGGGACATGAGGTACTCAGCCCTGGGGTGCACAGCTGCTCAGCTTGGCCAGGACACTATTTCCCCAGGGGGCAATGTGCTGCTTCAGTTCAGGTTTGGGCGGGGTTGGGGGACAGTGGCGTGAGTGTTCCTGGCGGCCATTTCTCTGGGATGCAAGGTGCCACTTCAGCTTAGGTATTGGGGTGTGTGACTACTCTGAATATGTAAGGCAGTTTCCTGCAATTCAGGATGCTACTTCAACCTAGGCACTGGGGACGCATGACTTCTTTGAGCCGCTGAGGTACTATTTTTCTGGGAGGCAGGGTACCACTTCAGCTCCAGCCTGATGGGGTGAGAGGAGAGGTGGGTGAAGTGGCTTCACTTCTTCTTGGTTCTATGAGGAAGGGTTTAACCACTGTTTGTAGCTTGGCCTGGGGATGTGAGGCCACCGGGCTGGGATGATTCAGCAGTGGCTTAGCCTCAGGGACAAAAGGGAGCCATGGCTACTTGCCAATGGAGCAAAACACGTTTCAGCCATAGTTCCACTTGCAAGATGGTGTAGCCACATGGGTCACAGGGGTCAGGGCACAGTATTGGCTTCTTCTCTCAGGGGAACACAGTGGTGTTGACCCCAGACGGCTCCCTCAGCTGGTCTTTGTCCCTGTGGGGACTGCAGGGGTGAGGTCTGTAGGTGTCCAAGGTGTTAATGGGGGTTGGTTGTTGGGATCCTCTTGCTTGCCTCCTTGCTATAGAGAGAAGTTCTTCCTGGTTCCCAGCTGATCCCAGTTGGGAATGGGGTGGTGGAGGCCTGGCATTCCCTTCTGCTCTCTGTGTTGCCATTCTGAGTTCTATGCTCACCCTGGTTTCTGTTTCTCCTCTGATGCACTCCATTGCCCTTCTTCAGTTGTTTTTGTTAAAATATAGTTGTTTGTTCATTGTGCTGGCCATCTTTTTCCAAGTTTATTCTTTTGCATGTGATATACAGTAGTATCAGCACCATTTGTTGAAGACTATCCTTTCCACATTCAATTGCCTTGACATCCTTGTTGAAAATCAGTTGACCATAAATATAAGGTTTACTTCTAGACTTTCAGTTCCATTTTATTTATCTATATATCTTCTCTGATGCCAGCACCACATAGTCTTGATTACTGTAGCTTTGTAGCAAAATTTGGAATCAGGACATTTGAGTCCTCCAACTTTGTTCCTCTTTTTCAAGATTGTTTTGGCTATTCTTGGTTCCTTGTATTTCCATGTGAATTTAAAGATCACTTTGTTAGTTTCTGCAGAAAAGCAGCTGGAATTCTGATAGGGATTGTGTTGAATCTGTAGATACATTCATGGGGAATGTATATCTTAATATTAAGTCTTCCAATCCATGAATAGAGGTATGTATTTCCATTTACGCAGAGCTTTAAAATCTTTCAGTGGTGTTTTGTAATTTTCAATGTGCAAGTTTCACACTTCTTATGCTAAATTTATTCGTAAGCATTTTATTCTTTTTGATGCTATTGTAAATGGAATTGTTTTCTTAAGTTCATTTTGGATTGTTTATTGCAAGTGTATGGAGAGCTTCAATAGATTTTTAAATATTGATCTTGTATCATACAACCTTGCTGACCTTGTTTATTAATGCTAATAATTTTTTTTGTAGATTCCTTAGGATTTTCTATGTACTACATTATGTTCTCTCCAAATAGTTTTACTACTTTTTTCCCCAATCTGGATGCCATTATTTCTTTTTCTTGCCTAATTGCTCTTGCTAGAATTTCTAGTATGATGAGTGTTAAAGTAGTGAGAATGGATATCCTTGGTTTTTTTTGGATCTTGGGAGAAAACTTTCAGTCTTTCATCATTAAGTTTGATGTTAGTTGTGGGTTTTAGCCTAATTTGCTAAGTGTTTAATCATGAAAGGGTATAGGCTTTTGTCAAATGCTTTTCTGCAACTATTAGATGTATGTGTTTTTTTCCTTTAGTCTATTAATGTAATATATTACAGTATTCATCAGCTCAGGCTGCCATAATAAAATACGATAGACTAGGTAGCTTAAATCAGCGGTCCTCAACCTTTTTGGCACCAGGGACTGGTTTCGTGGAAGACAATTTTTCCACAGATGGGGTGGAGGGGTGGTTTTGGGATTTAACTGTTCCACCTCAGATCATCAGGCATTAGATTCTCAAAAGGAGCACGCAACCTAGATCCCTTGCATGCACAGTTCACAATAGAGTTTACGCTCCTATGAGGATCTAATGCCTCCACTGATCTGACAGGAGGTGAAGCTCAGGTGGAAACGCTTGCTTGCCTGCCGCTCACCTCCTGCTCTGTGGCCCAGTTCCTAGCAGGCCACAGACCAATACCTAACAGCCCTTCTCACTGTGTCCTCCTGTAGCAGAGGGAGACGGCGATTTCTCTTCCTATTTTATAAGGCCGCCAATCCTATTGAAGATGTCGCTACTGTTAGGACTTCATTTAACCTAAATTACCTCCTAAAAGCCCTGTCTCCAAATATTAGGGGTTAGAACCTTAACATGTGAATTTTGGGGGGATGTAGTTCAACCTATAGCAGTTAGATTGATTGGTTTTCAGATGTTAAACTTATTTTGCATCTGTGGGATAAATCCCACTTGGTCATGGTGTATAATCCTTTTTATATGTTGCTGGATTTGGTTTGCTATTAATAATATTTTGTTGACAATGTTTGCAGCCTTGTATTTCAAGGCTTTGGAGAACTGTAAAAGCAGTGAAGTAATATGGGGCCCATATCTAGTGAAGTATTTAACAGAAACAATGGAAGCCAAAAGAAAGAAAACAACTGCCACCTAGAATTCTCTACTCAATACGTATATCTTTTAATAAGGAAGGTGAAATAAAACTATTTTCAGGAAATAAAAATTAAGGGAATTTGTCACCAGCAGACTCTCACTAAAGGAAAAACTAAAAAGGAGTTCTTCAGGCAGAAGGAAAATGATTCCCGATGGAAGCTCAGAGATACAGGAAGTAATGAAGAACAGTGGAAAGGTAAATATGTAGGCAATCAATCTAAGTGAATACTGTCTTGTGGGATGAACAACAATGGCATATAAATTGGGAGGGGAGTAAATGATGTTAATTTCTAAGGACTTTGCATTGTTTATAAAGAGAATAAAAGTAACAAGTAATTTTAGGCGTTGACAGTTCAGGGTTGCTCATTGTAATCTCTTACCAAAATAGACTATGAAAAGTCTGTAACTAACTACAGAGTTAACAGAAAAGGAAAAATTGAAATGATGAAACGTAGTCCACAAGAAGACAAGAAAGGAGAGGAAAAGGGATAGTTGTATAGGCAAGAGTAACAGATTGAAAAAGTTAAATACAACTCTATCAGTAATACATTAAGTGAAAATAGGTTTGATGCTTGAATTACAACTGTATTCAATATTTTGTCAGAGGTCCTAGTCAAAGAAATAAGGAAAGAAAAATAAAAATGATAAAGATTGGATAAGAAGAAATAAAACTATTATTTATACACAACATGATGGTGGACATAAAAACTAAAAAGATATCTAGATAAACCATTAGAATCAATAAGTGATTTTAAAAGGTTGTTACACTAATGTAAAAAGAAAGTGTATTTTTATATACAGATACCATGCAGAAAATGAGATAAAAAATCATTTACAATAGCATCAAAGAACATCAAAATCTAGGGAATAAACATAAGAAAATGTAAGATCTTTAAACTAGAAACTATAAACCTTGAAAGAAATTTTCATGTTCATGGATTGAAGAATCAATATTGTAAACATGTCAGTTCTGCCTAGATTGTTATATTTATCCAATGTAATTTCAATCAAAATCTCAGAGAAGTATTTTTTTTTAATGAAAAGCCAATTCCAAAAATAAATGTGGGAAAGTAAAAGGCTCAGAAGAACTAGGATAATCTTAAGAACAAAGTGAATAGATGTCCTCTATCAGATACTAAAACTTATGAAACTTTAGTCTTTAGTCTTTAAAATAGTGCAGTTTTGCTGCAGAGTTAGAAAGACCATGGAAAAAAACCAGGAATTCCAGAAACAGACACATTTATGGATGTCTGATTTGTGACAAAGGTGCTGCACAGCAGTGAGGACAGGACTTTCTTCAATAAATGATACTGGGTCAATTGAATATTCATATGGAGAGGAAAATGAAACTTTATTGCCGAATCACCCTGCATATAAAAATCAGTTAGAAGTAGACTATGATTTGGCTACATGTTGTAGCCAAAATAGTAAAGCTTCTAGAAACAGGAGAAAATCTCTATGACTTTGATGGTAAAGAGAGATTTCTGGCCACAAAAAGCACTGACAAAGAAAAAAAGATAAAACCGGACTGCAATAAAGTTAAACAATGGAAGATGATTAAGAAAGTGAAAAGAAGCTGCAGAGAGGAAGATGGTACTTGAAACACATATAATTGAGCAAAGAACTGGTGTCCTGAATAGGGAATTTCTACAAGTCCATAAGGAAGAGACAGAACATCCATTTGAAAAACAGAGAGACTTGAACAGACCCAATGTAAAAGAGGATATCCAGATGGCTAGTAAATATGAAAAGCTATTGCAAAAATTACAGATTAAGGCCACAGTGATATAACAATAAACATCCTTACAATAGCTAAAATTAAAGAGACTGACAATAGCAAGTGTTGATAAGGAGATAGGAATACTGCTGGTAGGGAATATAAATTTGTACAGCCACTTTGGAAGACTGGTCGGTAGGGAGTACTAAAGCTGAACATATGCAAATTTTATGACCCCGAAGTTTCACTCCTAATAATGCACTCAACAAAAATGCATGCACATTGGCACCAAAAGACACATACAAGAAGGTTCTTCATAGTATTATTAGTAATAGCCAAAAGCTAGAAACAACACAAATGTCCATCAAGAGTAGAATGAATAAATAAGATATGGCATATTCATACAATGAATATGCAGAAAAGAAAATGAACAGATTCAGCCAATATGTATGAATATCACATATATAATATTGAGTAAAATAAGCTGAATGCAATAGCATACATATTATATGACTCCATTTATATACATTTCAGAAAATTTCAAAACTATAGTATTAAAAGTTAGGTAATAGTTACTTTTGGGGAAAAGGGAAGGGATTGGGATGGGGCATTACAGGGATTTCTGGATGCTTGTCAACTTTTTATGGATAGATGGTAAGGATGTGTCTACTTTGTGATAGTTGATTGAGCTGTATGCATATGATTTGTGTACTTTATGTTATACATCAATTCAAAAAATCTAAAGGAACGGATACCTTATAGGATGTAAATGAAGTTTTCTATTCACATTGCTTTTTTCTTTTTGCCTTGGCAGAGAGAGGACAAGGTTGGATTTTAGTATTTATTTTTGTAATTTCAGCTTTTATTTTAGATTCGGGGGGACACATGTCCAGGCTTGTTACGTGGGTATGTTGTGTGATGCTGAGGTTTGGGGTACAAATGATCCCATCACCCAGCTAGTGAGCATAGTACCTGATAGGTAGTTTTTCGAGCCCTTTCCCCCTGCCCTGTCTCTCCTGACCCAGTGTCTCCCAGTGCCTTTTATTCCCATCTTTATGTCCACATGTACCTAATGTTTAGCTCCCACTTAAAAGTGAGAATATGTGGTATTTGGTTTTCTGTTCCTGTGTAAATTTGCTTAGGATGATGGCCTCCAGCTGTATCCATGTTGCTGCAAATGACATGATCTCATTTTTTATGGCTGTGTAGTATTCCATGATGTATATGTACCACATATTCTTTATTCAGTAACGTTGAATTTTAACTGAATATTTATTTGTTTCCTTGTGCATTTGTCCCCTTTAATCACCAGGCAGTCTAACTCTGGTGATGGGTCCTGGACAGTGGAGAGTTTCGTAGCAGGATTTTGAAAGCATCATAATTTAGATTGTTCCTGGGGCTAGGAGCACTAGCATGGACCTCTGAAGTCAACATGGAAGAAAATAATTCCAAGAGTTGTAACACAGTGGTCAGGAGCTAGCAACCTGATTTAAGTTCTTTAACACCTTTACCGTGATATTTTAAAATGTCTTTTCTAAGTATTGTTAAATTAAAATGCACTATTAAATTATAAATAACATGTTAGAAATATGCCATTTGCTATTTGCTAGCATAATACAATGAAAGAGGATAAGCTTCAGAGTTAGATTCAAATCCTGGCCTTGCTGTTTGCTCATTATAAAACTTTGGGCAGTTTACTCTAATTCTTTTTTTTTCTTTTCTTTTCTTTTTTTTTTTTTTTTTTGAGACAGAGCCTCACTCTGTCACCCAGGTTGGAGTGCAGTGATGCAGTCTCGGCTTACTGCAACCTCCGCCTCCAGGGTTCAAGCAATTCTCCTGCCTCAGCCTCCCAAGTAGCTAGGACTACAGGCGCGCAGCACCACCATGCCTGGGTAATTTTTATTTTTTTATTTTTTAGTAGAGACAGGGTTTCGTCTTGTTGGCCAGGCTGGTCTTAAACTCCTGACCTCAGGTGATCTGCCCACTGTAGACTCCCAAAGTGCTGGGATTACAGGCCTGAGCCACTGCGCCCAGCCCAGTTTACTCTAATTTTTTGTGCCTTAGTCTTTTCGTGCTAAATGGGGACGATATTCTTACTCAGTGAAAAGTCAATGAAGATTACTGTGTAAATGGAATAGCACTGTGTTTGGTACATCATAGGTGCCCCATAGGTAGACTTTTTCCCATTCTGCTTGCTACTCCACTAAATAATATTAGTAAAGAAAGAATCTTTCTAACTGTAGAGAGAGTTACAAGACTGAAAAATTTAGTGTATTTATTTTAATTTTGTGTTTAAGTTGGGATTTTTAATTTCTGAAAGAAAATAAAGGTACCTTTTTTGTCAATCTTTGACCTCTTTTAATACAATAATCCAACCCTGTTCTCTCTCTTAACAGATTTTCATTTTAAAAAACATTTACTCATTGAAAAATATAAGAATTTATAAGAAAAATTGAAAAATTACCCATAACTGCACCACACTGATATCTGTACTAGTAAGGTTTGGTGTACACTAGTCCCCCCTTATCTGTGGTTGGTTTCAGTTACAGCCAGATGTGGCTCGAAAATATTAAATGGAAAATTCCAGAAATAAATGGGCAAATAAATTGCATGTTATTCTGAGTAGCTTGATGAAATCCTTCGCTGCCACTCATTGTCCCACTCAGGACATGAATCATCCATTTGTCCAGCGTATTCCTGCTGTCTGCCCATTAGTCACTCAGTAGCTGTCTTGGTTATTAGATCAACTGTTGGATATCACAGTGCTTGTGTTCAAGTAACCCTTATTTTACTTTTATTACAGTATATTGTTATAATTGTTTTATTTCATTATCAGTTATTGTCATTAATCCCTTACTGTGTGTAGTTTATAAATTAATCTTTATCATAGGTATGTAAGGAAAAACATATATAGGTTTGGTACTATCCACCGTTTCAGGCATCCACTGGGGGTCTTGGAACAAATTCCCTGCGGATAATAGGGGACTACTGTAATTTCTTCCATTTACTTGTCTGTATGTTTTTAAACTGTAGTTTGACATGAAACCATACGTGTGGTTTTTGCATTCCTCATTTTTTTCTAAATCCAGCGCCATAGACTGCTCGGCCACACCACACTCATTTTTTCTTAATATGTAACGTTTCCCCATGTTATTAAAAATTTTCTAAATCCAGCACCTTAGACCACTCGGCCACACTACCACACTCATTTTTTCTTAATATGTAACGTTTCCCATGTTACTTAAAATTCTTTGTATTATTTTAGATAGCTGCATAGTATTACATCTTAGAGCCTATTATAATTGAAGTCTTTTACTGTTAGAAACTTAGGAGGTTTCCAGTTTTTTGTTATGCTATGATAATGGCATCTTTTTTGCATGAATCATTTACCTTTAAGACTATTTCCTTAGGCTGTACTTAGGGAAATCTCATTATTTTACCTAAGGGAAAGTAGTTTTATGGTTTTTAGATGCAAATTTCAGAATTGCTTTATAGAAAAGCTTTCAATTCATAATTTTACCAAGAGTATAGAAATGAATCCATTTTGTCGAACTCTCACTACTGAATACTGTCCATTTAAAAATATTCCATTTCTTTTTTCTTTATAGCATTTGTTCAGTGCTCAGCACAGGAGTTTGACCAGACAGAGTAGACGTCAAATATGTACCAGTAGTTTGATGGAACGTTTCTTACAGGATGTACTGCAGCACCACCCATATCATTGTCAAGAGAGCAGGTAAAGTAGTTGATTGGAATAATATTTATACGTAGTTATATGTTACAGTAGGTGTTTGTGTTCATGTCCCAATCAATACTTTAAGTGAATCTTTGAGTCAAGGAATATAAAGTAAAATTTTAGTAACTTTCATTTGCAATTTAAAATTTTTCTTAGCTGAAGTAAGAAATTTCACTACAGAAGATATGGACTACACTATGTTTTTTTCTAAATAAAAGTCTTAGGCTAATAATTATATATCATTAAGATGTTTTATAAGTATGTTATAGGATTAAGCAGGGGGAAAAGGAGGAAGAGATAGTTTTTTTTGTTTGTTTGTTTTTGAGATGGAGTTTCGCTCTTGTTGCCCAGGGTAGAGAGCAATGGCACGATCTCAGCTCACCGCAACCTCCACCACCCAGGTTCAAGCGATTCTCCTGCCTCAGCCTCCCGAGTAGCTGGGATTACAGGCATGTGTCACCACGCCTGGCTAATTTTTTGTATTTTTATTAGAGTTGAGGTTTCGCCATGTTGGTCAGGCTGGTCTCGAATTCCCGACCTCAGGTGATCCACCCGCCTTGGCCTCCCAAAGTGCTGAGATTACAGGCGTGAGCTACCACACCTGGCAAAATGGTTTTTAAAAGGTTAGCAACAGAAAAACTGGTGACAATAGCAGAGTAAGGACAATCAAGTCAAAACTGAGTCAAATCCACATTAATAGAACTCTTTGCTAATTCTGAGGAAAAGAGGTAGCCAAAAGAATTGGGTTTTTAAATCTGTCTGTATTTTGATAGCTTTTCTTGTATCCATTTGTTTTAGTTGTTTTTAATAAAAATAATTATTTTGATAACATTTAAGAGTTAATGCCCTATGTTAAAGAAAAACATTGGTAGAAAATCAGATTAAATATTATAATATGTTTGTAGCTCCCGCTGTACAAGATAAGGTAAAAATCGATCATTAGCACATCTGTGCAGTTAACTGAGATGTGCACCAGTTAGTAGAAAAAGGGATAAACTTCTTTGCCTTGCAAATCACTAACATAGACCTTAGAAATGGCAAAAATATTTTAATGGGGAAAAGTTAGAGGAAAACAAGATGGTTTCTTAGCTGGTGGGAAGATAGAATTAGCCTATCCTGGGGTCAGTATAAATTTCCAGGTTTTTTTTGTTTTTGTTTTTGTTTTTTGAGACGGAGTCTTGCTGTGTCACCCAGGCTGGACTGCAGTGACATGATCTCAACTCACTGCAACCCCCACCTCCCTGGTTCAAGCAATTCTCCCTGCCTTAGCCTCCCAAGTAGCTGGGATTACAGGCACCCGTCACCATGCCTGGCTAATTGTTTTGTATATTTAGTAGAGACTGGGTTTTGCCATGTTGGCCAGGCTGGTCTTGAACTCCTGACCCCAAGTGATCTGCCCACCTTGGCTTCCCAAAGTACTGGGATTACAGGAATGAGTCACCGTGCCCAGCTCCAATGTATAACTCTCATAAGCAGTGCTTCAGCAAACATGTTTTTACATGAATTTTTTTTTTCTTTTTTTTTTGAGACAGAGTCTCGGTCTGTTGGCCAGGCTGTAGTGCTATGGCACAATCTTGGCTCACTGCAACCTCCATCTCCGAGGCTCAAGCAATTCTCCTGCCTCAGCCTCTCGAGTGGCTGGGATTACAGGCATATGCCACCATGCCTGGCTAATTTTTGTATTTTTAGTAGAGACAGGGTTTCACCATGTTGGCCAGGCTGGTCTCGAACTCCCGACCTCAGGTAATCTGCCTGCCTCGCCCTCCCAAAGTGCTGGGATTACAGGCGTGAGCCAACACGCCCGGCCACATGCAACTATTTCTATGGTATAGCTTGCTAGAATTTGAAGTTCTGGGTCAGAGTTTACGGACCTTAAAAATTTTTTATTTTTATTTTTTATCTTTCCTTTCTGGAATAATTTCAGGCTAACAAAAATGTTGTAAAACTGGTACAAGAAATTCTTGGATCACCTTCCCCTGGCTTTCTCAAATATTAAATCCAAAATAACCACAGAGGGCCAGGTGCGGTGGCTCACGCCTGTAATCCCAGCACTTTGGGAGGCCAAGGTGGGCTGATGGCTTGAGGTCAGGAGTTCAAGACCAGCCTGGCCAACATGGTGAAACCCCTGTCTCTACTAAAAATACAAAAATTAGCTAGGCATGTTGGCACACACCCGTAGTCCCAGCTACTCGGGAGGCTGAGGCAGAAGAATTCCTTGAACTGCACTCCAGCCTGGGTGACAGAGCTAGACTCCTTCTTAAAAAAAGATTTTAAAAAACCACAGTACAATGATAAAAACTAGGAAACTACAAATGCAGTAGGAGGATCACTTGACTACAGGAGTTGGAGGCTGCAGTGTACTTTGACCTCCCCCCCGCCCGTGAATAGATGCATCCGGCCTGGGCAACATAGTGAGGCCTGTCTTGGCCTCTAAAAAAAAAAACAAGCCCCAAGCTGGACGCAGTGGCTCACGCCTGTAATCCTACCACTTTGGGAGGCCGAGGCGGGCGGATCACCTGAGGTCGGGAGTTTGAGACCAGCCTGACCAACATGGAGAAACCCTGCCTTTACTAAAAATACAAAAAATTAGCCGGGCATGGTGGTGCATGCCTGTAATCCCAGCTAGTAGGGAGGCTGAGGCAGGAGAATTGCTTGAACCCTGGAGGCGGAGGTTGCGGTGAGCTGAGATTGTGCCATTGCACTCCAGCCTGGGCAACAAGAGCGAAACTTGGTCTCAAAACAAACAAACAAACAAACCCAAAGCAAAAAATTCCCTGAACCCTGCTCAGAGGGAGCCAGTTTTAAAAACACAAAAACCAAAAACCAAGAAATTACATTGATACCATACTAACAGCTAATCTGTAGACCTTGTTTAAATTTTGTTGGTTGTCTTAACTCATGTCCATTTCTTGGACCAGGAACCAGTCCACAATCACACGTTGCATTTCGTTGTCAGCATCTCCTTAGTTTTCCTTTATCTTAAATAGTTCCTCAGTTTGTCTTTGTTTTTAAGACCATGATACTTTATTTATAGAGTACTGGCCAGTTAATTTATAGGATAGCCTTCAATTTGTGTCTGCCTGATATTTTCTTATGATTAAACTTCGGTTATGCATTTTGGGCGTGAATATCTTAGAATCGATGTGCCCTTCTCAGTGTGTAGCATCAGGAGACACATAATGTTGCCGTGTCATTTTGGGTGATGTTAGCTTGAGCCACTTGATTAAGGTACTACTGTCTGCCAAGTTACTCCACTGTGAAGTTACTGTTTTTCCTAATTAATAAGGATCGTATGGGGAAGAACTTTGAGACTATGTAAATACCTTGTTTCTTATCTTACTTTTGCCCACTGATTTTATGCAACCATTAATGATTCTTTGATCAAAATTCTACCATAAAGGAGATCTTCACTTGTTCTTTCACTTATTCAAGTATTTAATACTTATTTATATCATTATAGACTCATGGATATTTCCTTTATTCTATGGGTTTTAATTTGTTACTATTTATTATTTATTTTGTTGCTCAAATTGTGTATGAACATTTGAAGTCCTTGCTAGACACTTCCTAGAAGGCTATACCAATTTATACTCACACCAGCAGCATAAGAGAATGCTCGTTTCCTGTCACTGTTGCTAACACTGGGATTATCAGCTTCTTTTTTCCCTCCCAACCTAATAGGCCAAAAATGTGTAGATATACATACTGATAATCCCATATTATCTATTTTCAGGTAGAACTTTTTTGTATACTGATTGGCCATATTTTATTCTATGATATGTTTGTTAATATACTTTGCCCATTTTTCTATGGAGTTCTTTGTATATTTTGGCTTTGTAAGAAATATTTGAGTATGAGTAATATCCTTTGTATTTTAAATGTGTTACAGATTTTTTTCAGAACCTAATTGTTTGTCTTTTAACTGTATATGTTATTCTTTATTATACAGAAATTAAAATTTTTGATTTAATCAGATGTAAGGAGAATTTTTCTTTATGGCTTCTTTTATGCCTTTTTCTTCATGCCTTTGTTTTTTCTTTTAAATATTTATAACCATCTTGGAGTTTGTTTTTATATGTGGTGTGAGGCAGGACTTCTTGTATCTCTAATTATCCTTGCTGATATAAAATGTCACCACCTGTGTCATAACCCGAGTTCTTGTATTTGTGTATATGTGTGTGTGTATATCTCATTTTGAATACCATTTTGTTTCCTTGATTTAAAAAAAATCCCATGCCAATAGTACATTATTTTATTATGTATGTATAAACTTTCTAACTTATAGGATTTATGATTTTAAAACATTTCCTTTCTGTTTCCCCCTTGTCTAGACATTGTAAATTTTTCTATTTTAGCTCTCCTGAAAATCAGTTCTTGCTTTATTTTTGTTTCATCTTCATTAATTTTTTCCTTTTCTTCATGTATTTCGTCTACCTTTTTATGGGGGCAATTTGGTTGTTATCTTTTTCGTCTTAAATTGGGTGCCCAGTTGTATTTATGAATTCTTTTCTTAATGGAAGTATTTAAAAATATGATGTTTTTATTTTGGCCATATCTCATAGTTTTTATTTCTTTTAGATAATTTAAAAAATGTTTTTTTTTTTTAGCTCAAGAGTTTTTCTTTTTAGCTCAAGAGTTTAGCTGTTTTTTGTTCGTTTGTAGGTCTCACTCTGTGGCCCAGGCTGGAGTGCAGGGTGTGATTATAGCTCACTGTAGTCTCAAAGTCCTGGGCTCAAGTGATCCTCCTGCTTCAGCCTCTTGAGTATCTGGGACTATAGACATGTACCACCATGCCTGGCTTATTTTTTAAATTTTTTGTAGAAACAGGATCTCATTATGTTGCCAAGGCTGGTCTCAAACTCTTGGCCTCAAGTGATCCTCTCACTTGAGTCTTCCAAAGTGGGGGGATTACAGGCATGAACCACCACACCTGGCCAAAAGAGTGGTTTTTAATCTTTAATGGTTAGATTTTTAGAGAGCTTTTTTTGTTGTTGTGTGGTTACAAATGATGAGTTAAATGTGGATTATGATTTAATTGTTAAGCATATTATACACACACAAATACAGATGCAGATCAAAGCATCCAGATGGCAGTTCATGACCTTCTTGGGATTTTACCAGCTGTATGATTTTATGATTATACCTTCTTTTCTTTTTTCCCTTTTCTTTCTTTTCTTAGCTACATATTGCACAATTGGTTTTATTTTGAGAATGTTGTGATAGTCCTTAAGACAAATGAAGATAGTTTAGGGTTCTGAAAAACTAGAGTGAAGTGATTGTTGCACTGCAGTGTCATTGTTGAGAAGTATGAAAAATTAGAATTGTTTTTTGCTGCATCACAATACTTTTGATGCAGGGTTAACTTTATTTTCTAAATTCAAAATTAATATTAAGGTAATAAATTTATATGGGATAGTAATACTTAGGCTAAAATGAAATTGCATATGGCTGACACATGTATGCATGTTCTCTTAGACAAATGACATCTCAAATTGGAAAAATTCAATAAATTTTTAGGTGTTTATTTTTAATTGTTATAGGCTATTTTTATAAACAAACAGTTTTAGATTAATGGAAACAATGAGGAAATAGTACAGAGTGTGCCTATAATACTCTCTCACACAATTTCTCTATTATTAACATTAATGTGATATATTTGTTATAAGTAATGAACTGATATTAGTACAGTCCATGGTTTATTCAGACTTCTTAGTTTCTACTTAAACTAAGTTTTCTTAAACTAAGATTTCCTTAGTTTTACTACTTTTTCTGTTTCAGAATCACATCCAGGATACCACATTACATTAACTTGTAATGTCTCTTTAGGTCCCTCTTGGCTGTGACAGTTTAATCTTTTTTTTTTTTTTTTTAAACAGGTCTAGATGTGATGATACTTATCTCTTTGAATTGTTATTATTTTTTATGTGTCTGCCTTCTGCAGCTACTTGAATGGTCTTTAAAAGGCAGCTTAACTTTTTTTGAATTTGCCTTAGTACCTAGCATAGTGCCTGTAATGCAGTAGTAAGTCCTTAGTAGATGGTTGTTACATGAATGAATGTTTGCCCGACTTTAAGAATTCAGGCCATGGCAATATCATTAGGTCAGTTGGTTTTATGTACATGAAAGAACAGTCCCTGAAATGCTTTGGTCAAACATGTTGTCTTGATACTGGTAGAAGAGATTCATAGACTGATTTTAGATATGAAAGTTTTGGGTCTTTTTAAAAATAATGGAATTTAAATTTTGAATGGGAAATACATATACATAGACATAATTCACAGTGCACGTTCAAAAGTAAGTCTTCTTAAATTGCTGCCATCCTGTAGTCACTTCCCTAGAGGTAACACTTGACACCTCTAGACTTCTACAGTTGTATGTGCCATTCTCCAGATATTCTAAGTGCATTATTTTTTTCCCTTCTATTTTACATAAATGGTAGCTTTCTGTGTACCCTTGCTTTTCACTAACAATGTTTATAGTAATTGGTTTTTATTTGTATATATAGAGCCGCTTTATTATTTTTAAAAACCACATTGTATTCCATTAAATACCATTAATTATTTAACCAGTACCCAGTTACTGAGTATTCAGGTTGATTCTAGTCATTTGCTATTACCCCTCCCTCCGCTCAAAAGTAGCAGTAACTATTCTTGTACGTGTTCATTAAACACATGAGAAAACCAAAAGTGGAATTAGAGGTCAAAGGGTATGTACATTCTTAATTTTAATAGACATTGCCAAATTGCTGTTTGTAGAGGTTACAAATCTACATAGAGGTTAACCAGTAACTGTTAACTGATCTATATTCCTATGAACAATGTATTAAAGTGCCTTTGTCCTTACACCCGCACCAAAACAATGTGTTAAGATAATAATAGCTAACATTTGTGAATGCTTACTGTGTGCCAAGCTGTTTCTTTGTTTTAATGCTCTTTACATGTAACAATTAATTTACTCATCAAAACAATCTCATGAGGGAAAATAGTGTAAGATTCCCTTTTTTTGGAGGCAGAAACTGAAGCATACAAAGTTAAGTAACATATGTCAAACTTTTTGCTATTTACTACTCTGATAACTGAAAAATAATATATGATTTTATTTGTTTAGTTTTTCATGTTTAGGGGCCATTTGTATTTAAGTAGCAATTGGTGGAGCCACCTCCACCTTCTGCAGTAATTCCCCCTCTGTGGTCCATGCAGTGTTCAGCCTGGGGTGACTGCCTGGATTCCTTGTCCTTTAAGGATAGTCCAGAACAGAAAGCAAATAACATTTATTATGCCTCTATTTTAATATTTTAAACAGACATTAGAATATGTTTATGAGTTTCCCCCCTTTCGTTTTAGTTCAACACAAGATGAGACACATGTGAATACTGGGTCATCGTCTGAAGTGGTGCATTTGGATGATGCTTTTTCTGAAGAAGAGGAAGAGGATGAGGATAAGGTTGAGGATGAGGATGCTACCGAAGAGAGACCATCCGAGGTTTCAGAACCTATTGAAGAGTTACATTCCAGACCTCATAAATCTCAGGAAGGCACGCAGGAGGTTTCAGTTCGACCATCAGTTATTCAAAAACTGGAGAAGGGACAGCAGCAGCCCTTGGAGTTTGTTCATAAAATTGGGGCCAGTGTGAGAAAATGTAACCTAGTAGATATTGGTCAGGCTACAAATAATAGAAGCAACTTGGTACGCCCCCCAGTGATTTGTAATGCTCCTGCTAGTTGTTTACCTGAAAGCTCTAACGATAGACCAGTTACAGCTAATACAACTAGTTTACCACCAGCAGCTCATTTGGATTCAGTTAGCAAATGTGACCCAAACAAAGTTGAGAAATATCTTGAACAGCCAGATGGGGCCTCTAGAAATCCTGTGCCATCATCCCATGTAGAAACTACTTCATTTTCGTATCAGAAACATAAAGAATCAAATAGGAAATCTTTACGCATGAATTCAGATAAGTTGGTTTTGTGGAAAGATGTAAAATCTCAGGGTAAAACTTTATCAGCTGGCTTGAAATTCCATGAACGCATGGGTACTAAGGGCTCCTTAAGAGTTAAATCTCCTTCCAAATTAGCAGTAAACCCGAATAAAACTGACATGCCTTCTAATAAAGGAATCTTTGAAGATACTATTGCAAAGAACCATGAGGAATTCTTTTCTAACATGGATTGTACCCAAGAAGAAAAGCATTTGGTTTTTAACAAGACAGCCTTTTGGGAACAGAAGTGCTCAGTGAGTTCTGAAATGAAGTTTGATTGTATCTCTCTTCAGTCAGCATCTGATCAGCCCCAAGAGACTGCACAAGACTTAAGTCTTTGGAAGGAGGAGCAAATTGACCAAGAAGATAACTATGAGTCTAGAGGTTCAGAAATGAGTTTTGATTGCAGTTCCTCTTTTCATTCACTGACTGACCAATCTAAAGTGAGTGCCAAAGAAGTAAACCTTTCCAAGGAAGTACGTACTGATGTACAGTATAAGAATAATAAATCTTATGTTTCTAAAATAAGTTCTGATTGTGATGACATTCTTCACTTGGTTACCAACCAATCCCAAATGATTGTTAAAGAAATAAGTCTTCAGAATGCAAGGCATATTAGCCTGGTTGACCAAAGCTATGAATCTAGTAGTTCTGAAACGAATTTTGATTGTGATGCTTCACCTCAGTCCACTAGTGACTACCCCCAACAATCTGTAACAGAAGTAAACCTTCCTAAGGAAGTGCACATTGGTTTGGTTGATAAGAACTATGGTTCCAGTAGCTCTGAAGTAAGTGCTGATTCTGTTTTCCCACTGCAGTCAGTGGTTGACAGACCCCCAGTGGCTGTCACAGAAACAAAACTTCGGAAGAAGGCTCATACCAGCTTGGTTGATAACTATGGATCGAGTTGTTCTGAAACAAGTTTTGATTGTGATGTTTCTCTTGAGTCAGTAGTTGATCATCCCCAACTGACTGTCAAAGGAAGAAACCTGAAAGGTAGACAAGTCCACCTAAAACATAAGAAGCGTAAACCCAGTAGTGCTAAAGCACATCTTGATTGTGATGTCTCACTTGGGACAGTTGCAGATGAATCCCAGAGGGCTGTTGAAAAGATAAATCTTCTGAAGGAGAAGAATGCTGACCTTATGGATATGAACTGTGAATCCCATGGTCCTGAAATGGGTTTTCAGGCTGATGCTCAATTAGCTGACCAGTCTCAAGTAGCCGAAATAGAGCGTCAGAAAGTGGATGTTGACCTTGAGAATAAGAGTGTTCAGTCTAGCCGTTCTTCTCTGAGTTCTGATTCTCCGGCTTCTCTTTATCATTCAGCTCATGATGAGCCTCAAGAAGCTTTGGATGAAGTAAATCTTAAAGAGTTAAATATTGACATGGAAGTTAGGAGCTATGATTGCTCCAGCTCTGAGTTGACTTTTGATTCTGACCCGCCTCTTCTGTCAGTTACTGAGCAGTCTCATCTGGATGCTGAAGGAAAAGAACGGCACATTGACCTGGAAGATGAGAGCTGTGAGTCAGATAGTTCTGAAATAACTTTTGATTCTGATATTCCTCTTTATTCAGTAATTGACCAACCTGAAGTAGCTGTTTATGAGGAAGAAACTGTTGATCTGGAAAGTAAAAGTAATGAATCTTGTGTCTCTGAAATAACTTTTGATTCTGATATTCCTCTTCATTCAGGAAATGATCACCCTGAAGTAGCTGTTAAAGAAGTAATTCAGAAAGAAGAGTACATTCACTTAGAAAGGAAGAATGATGAACCCAGTGGTTCTGAAATAAGTTCGGATTCCCATGCCCCTCTTCATTCAGTGACTAATTCTCCCGAAGTAGCTGTTAAAAAGCTAAATCCTCAAAAAGAAGAGCAGGTACACTTAGAAAATAAGGAAAATGAACCTATTGATTCTGAAGTAAGTTTGGATTATAATATCATTTTTCATTCAGTGACTGGACGTTCTGAAGATCCCATTAAAGAAATAAGCCTTCACACAAAAGAGCACATGTACTTAGAAAATAAGAGTGTTTTTGAAACAAGTTTGGATTCTGATGTCCCTCTTCAGGCAGCGACTCACAAACCTGAAGTAATTGTCAAAGAAACATGGCTTCAAAGAGAAAAGCACGCTGAATTCCAAGGTAGAAGTACTGAATTCAGTGGTTCAAAAACAAGTTTAGATTCTGGTGTCCCTCATTATTCAGTAACTGAACCTCAAGTAGCTGTTAACAAAATAAACAGAAAGAAGCAATATGTTCTAGAAAACAAGAATGATAAATGTAGTGGTTCTGAAATAATTTTGGATTCTAATGTTCCACCTCAGTCAATGACTGACCAACCTCAACTAGCTTTTTTGAAGGAAAAACATGTTAATCTGAAGGACAAAAACAGTAAATCAGGTGATTCTAAAATAACTTTTGATTCTGAACAACTTCAGGAAGCGGTTAAAAAAATAGACCAATGGAAGGAAGAGGTTATTGGCCTGAAAAATAAGATTAATGAACCTAGTACTTATAAATTAATACATCATCCTGATGTTTCTGTCCAATCTGTGGCTGATCAACCCAAAGTAGCTATTAAACATGTGAACCTTGGGAATGAAAACCATATGTACTTGGAAGTTAAGAACAGCCAATATAGTTGTTCAGAAATGAATTTGGATTCTGGTTTCTTGGGTCAGTCAATAGTCAATCGACCTCAAATAACTATTTTGGAGCAGGAGCACATTGAACTAGAAGGTAAGCACAATCAATGTTGTGGTTCTGAAGTAAGTTTTGATTCTGATGACCCTCTTCAGTCAGTGGCTGACCGGCTGAGAGAAACCGTTAAAGAAATAAGCCTTTGGAAGGATGAAGAAGTTGACACGGAAGATAGGAGAAATGAAGCTAAGGGTTTTGAAATTATGTATGATTCTGATGTTCTTCAGCCAGTGGCTGGCCAACCTGAAGAAGTAGTTAAGGAGGTCAGTCTTTGGAAAGAGCATGTTGACTTGGAAAATAAGATTGTCAAACCTACAGATTCCAGAATAAATTTTGATTCTCATGAACCCCTTCAGTCCGTAACTAATAAAATTCCAGGGGCGAATAAAGAAATAAATCTTTTGAGGGAGGAACATGTTTGTCTGGATGATAAGGGCTATGTGCCCAGTGATTCTGAAATAATTTATGTTTCAAATATCCCTCTTCAGTCAGTGATAAAACAACCACACATTTTGGAAGAGGAGCATGCCAGTCTGGAAGATAAGAGCAGTAATTCTTATAGTCCTGAAGAAAGTTCTGATTCCAATGACTCTTTTCAGGCAGCAGCAGATGAGCTTCAAAAACCTGTCAAAGAAATAAATCTTTGGAAGGAAGACCATATTTACCTGGAAGATAAGAGCTATAAATTAGGTGATTTTGATGTAAGTTATGCTTCTCATATTCCTGTTCAGTTTGTGACTGATCAATCTTCTGTACCTGTCAAAGAAATAAACTTGCAAAAGAAGGATCATAATGATCTAGAAAATAAGAACTGTGAAGTCTGTGGTTCTGAAATAAAATGTCATTCTTGTGTTCATCTTCAGTCAGAAGTTGACCAACCTCAAGTGTCTTACAAAGAGGCAGACCTTCAGAAGGAAGAGCATGTTGTCATGGAAGAAAAGACCGATCAACCTAGTGATTCAGAAATGATGTATGATTCTGATGTTCCTTTTCAAATAGTAGTTAACCAATTTCCAGGATCAGTCAAAGAAACCCACCTTCCAAAGGTGGTACTTGTGGATCTGGTGCCCGGTGATAGTGATTATGAAGTAATTTCAGATGATATTCCCCTTCAGTTAGTGACTGACCCACCTCAGTTGACTGTCAAAGATATCAGCTGTATAAATACAGAATGTATTGATATAGAAGATAAGAGCTGTGACTTTTTTGGTTCTGAAGTCAGATGTAATTGTAAAGCCTCTACTCCCTCAATGACAAACCAATGCAAAGAGACTTTCAAAATAATAAACCGGAAGAAGGACTATATTATTCTGGGAGAGCCAAGTTGTCAATCTTGTGGTTCTGAAATGAATTTTAATGTTGATGCCTCTGATCAGTCCATGACTTACGAGTCACAAGGACCTGATGAGAAAATGGTGAAATATATTGATTCAGAAGATAAGAGCTGTGGATATAATGGTTCTAAAGGAAAATTTAATTTGGAAGACACTTCTCATCGAACGACTCACCGACTGCAGAAAGCTCACAAAGAAGCCAGTCTTCGGAAGGATCCAAGAAATGCTGGCCTAAAAGGTAAGAGCTGTCAGTCTAGTGCTTCTGCAGTGGATTTTGGTGCCTCTTCCAAGTCAGCGCTCCATCGAAGGGCTGATAAAAAAAAACGTTCGAAGCTAAAACATAGAGATCTAGAAGTGAGCTGTGAACCGGATGGTTTTGAGATGAATTTTCAGTGTGCTCCCCCTCTTCCATCTGATACTGATCAGCCTCAAGAAACTGTTAAGAAAAGACACCCTTGTAAGAAGGTATCTTCTGACTTGAAAGAAAAGAACCATGATTCCCAGTCAAGCTCTGTTCTCAAGGTTGATTCTGTAAGGAACCTGAAAAAAGCAAAGGATGTCATAGAGGATAATCCTGATGAACCAGTTCTTGAAGCCTTGCCTCATGTACCTCCTTCATTTGTGGGGAAAACATGGTCTCAGATAATGAGAGAAGATGACATAAAAATTAATGCTCTGGTGAAGGAGTTTAGGGAAGGTCGTTTCCACTGTTACTTTGATGATGACTGTGAGACCAAAAAAGTTTCTTCGAAGGGGAAAAAAAAGGTTACCTGGGCTGACTTGCAAGGTAAGGAGGACACTGCACCAACTCAAGCTGTGTCAGAGAGTGATGATATTGTCTGTGGTATTTCAGATATTGATGACTTGTCAGTGGCCTTAGATAAACCATGCCATCGTCATCCTCCAGCAGAGAGGCCTCCTAAGCAAAAGGGGCGTGTGGCTTCTCAATGCCAGACAGCGAAAATCAGCCATAGTACTCAGACCAGTTGTAAGAATTACCCAGTGATGAAAAGAAAAATAATTAGACAAGAGGAAGACCCACCAAAAAGTAAGTGTTCACGTTTACAGGATGACAGAAAAACCAAAAAGAAAGTCAAAATTGGGACAGTTGAATTTCCTGCATCATGTACTAAAGTTTTGAAGCCTATGCAACCCAAAGCCTTAGTCTGTGTTCTTTCTTCTTTAAATATTAAACTGAAAGAGGGTGAAGGCCTTCCTTTCCCTAAAATGAGGCACCATAGTTGGGATAATGATATTCGGTTTATATGCAAATATAAACGGAATATCTTTGATTATTATGAGCCCTTGATTAAGCAAATTGTAATTAGTCCTCCCCTGAGTGTAATAGTACCAGAGTTTGAGAGGCGTAACTGGGTTAAAATTCATTTTAATAGGAGCAACCAAAACTCCAGTGCAGGAGATAATGATGCTGATGGACAAGGCTCTGCTTCAGCGCCTTTAATGGCAGTGCCGGCAAGATATGGATTTAATTCACATCAGGGAACCAGTGACTCTTCTCTGTTTCTGGAAGAATCAAAGGTTCTGCATGCTCGTGAGCTTCCAAAGAAAAGAAATTTCCAGCTAACATTTTTAAATCATGATGTTGTCAAAATCTCTCCAAAATCAGTTAGAAATAAGCTTTTGGAAAGTCAAAGTAAAAAGAAAATTCATGGAAAGAGGGTGACAACTAGTAGTAATAAGCTAGGTTTTCCCAAAAAGGTTTATAAACCAATTATTCTCCAGCAAAAACCCAGAAAAGCTTCAGAGAAACAGTCAATTTGGATTCGGACCAAACCAAGTGATATCATTAGAAAGTATATTTCGAAATACTCTGTCTTTTTACGTCATAGATATCAGTCCAGGAGCGCTTTTCTTGGAAGGTATCTGAAGAAGAAAAAATCTGTTGTCAGTAGGCTAAAGAAGGCGAAGAGAACAGCTAAAGTGCTTTTGAACTCTTCAGTTCCACCAGCTGGTGCCGAAGAGCTGTCAAGCGCTATGGCAAATCCTCCTCCAAAGCGACCTGTGCGGGCTTCTTGCCGCGTTGCAAGAAGGAGGAAGAAGACTGATGAAAGCTACCATGGCCGACAGAAAGGTCCTTCTACACCTGTGAGAGCATATGATCTGAGAAGCTCATCTTGTTTACAACAACGTGAGAGAATGATGACTCGGCTAGCAAACAAACTGAGAGGTAATGAGGTAAAATAGAAGTTGGTTTTGTGTTCAGGCTAGTTGAGGATTCAGTACTTCAGTTGAAATATATTTGGTACTTTGTGCACACAGCTTTCCCAGCTTTGGTGAGAAAACTAATCTTGAACTATTTTGCTATAAATATTATTTTTCAGAATTTTTATATTCATTTAAAATTAGTGTTTAGAGTCCTTTCATTTTAAGATTCAGAAACAGCCTTTGTCCAACATTTTCTGTAGAAGAACTTCATCTTAATTTATGTCACAAAATAATTTAGCACCGTATATAGAATTTTGTTCCTCAAATCATATCCCTCTTATTTTTTATGATTATCTCTCTCATGCCAGCAAATTTAACATTGTGAGAATGAATATAGCAAACTTATTAAAAAGAAGGAATTATAATGAATTATGTCAACTTTTGAATGGGGTTGACTTAAATGAATACAAACAAAATATAAGTTTTCTTTCTTTTTAAAGCATTCCAGAAAATGAGATTCCATAATCTTTAATACAGTTTTTAAAAACTGGTGATTTTTTTTATGCATAGCACAAACTCCTCCTGCTTCATTTAAATTGGATCTGCAAGTCTCTAACTTTTATCATTTGGACACATGCACACATACAGTCTCTAGGTTTTTTGGGTTAGCCTTATTAGATCTTAAAGGGGAAAATAATTTTGCCCATGTGTTTAGGCATTCCCCCCCTTTTTTTTAACCACCTTTACTCTCTTCTACATGAAGAGTTGGTGGCTTAATATGAAAATCCAGGTTATTTTGTGGCCTTATCCCCTAAAAATATTTTAGGCATTACCATATCAGTTTTTATTTTTATGTTTATTTATTATTATTATTTTTTGAGACAGAGTCTCACTGTCTTGCCCAGGCTGGAGTGCAGTGGCCTGAACTTAGCTCACCGCAACCTCCACCTCCCGGGTTCAAGCAATTCTCCTGCCTAAGCCTCTCGAGTAGCTGGGACTACAGGCGTGCGCCACCATGCCCGGCTAATTTTTGTATTTTTAGTAGAGTTGGGGGTTTCACTATGTTGGCCAGGCTGGTCTCAAACTCCTGACCTTGTGGTCCACCCGCCTCAGCCTCCCAAAGTGCTGGGATTACAGTCATGAGCCACCATGCCCAGCCTACCATATCAGTTTTTAATAACTTGAACTGAAATTATTGGCTTGGTAATATTTGGGCAGGCCATTAATTCTCATTAGAAAATTACTTAATATTTCAAAAAATTGAATAAAACTGGTAATCTTTGTGGAGGCCCATTTTGCAAGTGGAAACCTGTATTTATACATTAGTTTGTCTTTAACTATTTGTTAACAGATTTTAACAGTTCAAATGAAAGATGTTAACGAGATGCAGTTTGAGTCTGGGATACTCAGAATAGATCCAGAACCTTTATTCAGGGACACTGGTTGAGTTGGTACAGATGCATTCAGTTGTCATTCATTCGTGTTAAGCCAAGATCCTGGATCTTCTATCATTAATGTTAAGAGGAAACATGAATTACAACTATATTGTATGACTGCCATATTTTATTGAAACTAAGGTCAATGTTGAACCATATCTTGATTTCAGAATTTAAAATGTGTTACCTTAGAAATAATGAAATATAGTGTAACAGTTGGTTTCTAAATGTGGTTTTATTTCAGGGGCCATTATTTAACCTGTGTGTATGCTATGATGGAGTTCTTTTGTGATTTCTTTACTTCTAAATTTAAATAGTAATTATGTTTAAAAACAAATGTTTTTGTCTTTAGTTGCAAAGCAGCATATATCTCATTTCCTTCAACCTTGCCTCCTCATACACAAATATATTTTCATTTCTTAAAAGATCACTGGGCCAGTAGTTCAAAATAATCCTCCAATTTTAATTTAGGAACAAAGCTTTGTCCTACTGACTAGGAAGTAAACAAACAGCTGATATATAAGATATTTGTGGGTATTGGTGTCTTTTTTCCCTATGGAATAGACACATAGTTCCCTTAAATATTATTAATAGACATTCTACAGTCTTTCAGTGTAAGTTTAAAAGCAAGAGATCAAATGAAAATGTGTACTATGTACCTATGATGTGTCATATCGTGATTACATCATGCAGAGAGAACAGTTCCTGTAATTCAAGTAATTAAAATTTCAAGTTGTAAAAATGTTACCATTTTCACATTGGAAGCCCTTCTAAGTACCATTTTCATTGGGGGCAGGGAGAAGGTTTATATTTAAATTTTATATTACCAGACATAAAAGTACAGTGCAGTACTGATGATTTTGTTTAAAGTTTTTGAAATGTTTTGTTTACTAAGTTCTTGTAATCATTATTTTAGACAAGCTTGAAAACTTGAAATTGTTGAAACTTATAATTTAAATTAAATTGGAAATTACTTTCAGAATTTGGTAGTATACAAGATGTGCCCCTTTGTCTAAATAAATGTTGGCTTAATTTGCAGAATAGATAAAACAATTGATGTTTTTGTGTGTTCAAGAATGCATTAAATTCTTTTAATAGTAAAAAGTCAAATTACGACCATAATGAGTATTTTAATCTTGTTCTTGTTCAGTATTTTGCGTAGATTTTTATTGTAATTGTCCTGAGTTCTACAGTATGTGAACAATATCGTGTGAAGTGTGTTTTTGCATTTGTGCATTTAAATTATTTATGTAACTAGGGCTGTGAGTAACACTTTTTTTTTTTTTTTTTGGTTAAAGAAAAGCTATATTTAAATATTCAAATAATTATATATTTCCATGTAAAACTAATGTGAAGACTAATGTATTTTTTATATTGCAGTGTAAAAGCTAAACTTGTTTTTGATGTTATCAAGATAAAATTTATTAAACCTTGAAATTTGTCTGTTCTCTCTTCATGTTAGAAACTTTTTCTGGGAATACTTGAAGAATAAGAGAATAATGGCCTGAGAGATAATAAATGAGAGAATGTAAATGTTGATGCCAGTGAGAAAGTAGTTTAACCAAAGATATACAGATTATATTCGATGCAGTAGTTATTTCAAAGGATTAAAATTAAACCATTTATTTGTCTGGTGGAGTGGTGGATTAGCAGCTTTTCACTTTGTGTACCTGTATTGAAAGGGCCCGTGAACAAGACTGAGTTCATGAGGCTGTATCTATATCACTGTTTGACACCTACTGGGGAGGGAGAACTTGGGAGCCTCCACTACCACAGCAAGTATTATAAAATACAAGAAAACATGAGAAAGTGTATGTGTGTCAGTGAGGTAGGTGCCTTTGGCACCAGTAGTACTGACTTCCAGAGTTTGTTGGCCTAGATGTTATTGCCAGGATAAACAACATCCTAATCTTTTTTTTTTTTTCCTTTCTTGAGGCAGAGCCTCTCTTTGTCGCCCAGGCTGGAGTGCAGTGGTGCAATCTCAGCTCACTGCAACCTCCGCCTTCCAGGTTCAAGTGATTCTCCTGTCTCAGCCTCCTGAGTAGCTGGGATTACAGGCATGCGCCACCACACCCAGCTAATTTTTGTATTTTTAGTAGAGACGGGGTTTTACCATGTTGGCCAGGCTGGTCTCGAACTCCTGACCTCAGGTGATCCACCCACCTTGGCCTCCCAAAGTGCTGGGATTACAGGCATGAGCCATGACGCCCGGCCCCTAATCTTTATAATAAAAAATCATGGTCGGGCGCAGTGGCTCACGCCTGTAATCCCAGCACTTTGGGAGGCTGAGGCAGGCGGATCACGAGGTCAGGAGATCAAGACCATCCTGGCTAACATGGTGAAACTCCGTCTCTACTAAACAAAATACAAAAAATTAACCGGGCGTGGTGGCAGGTGCCTGTAGTCCCAGCTACTCGGGAGGGTGAGGCAGGAGAATGGTGTGAACCTGGGAGGCGGAGCTTGCAGTGAGCCGAGATCGTGCCACTGCACTCCAGCCTGGGCGACAGAGCGAGACTCTGTCTCAAAAAAAAAACAAAAAAAACAAAAAATTACTACAGTGAAAATGTAAAATGGAAGTCCATTTTCAGCAAAGGGCTTCTATGTAAAGAAAATATAGTTTGTTGTTGAATCTTTAAGTAATATAAACTTAAAATTTTCTGTGTTTATAATTTATTACATGAATGTTGTAATTTATTTCCAGGTTTAATTATTTTAAGGTTAAAAGGTGTGTGTGAGTGAACATCTTGAGCCCTTGCTGAGTGCCAGAGATTGTTCTAAGCTTTTAACCTGTTATCTCATTTGGTCTTCAAAGGACCTTTATGAGTTAGATACTGTAATTTTCGCAATATATTAAATGAGAAAATTGTGGCATATTGTAGTTTATAGTTAATCATCATTCCCACCCCCCAGTTCCAAGCCAGCACTAATCTACTTTCTGTCTTTATAGTATATCCTTTTCTGGATAGTTCATATGAATGGAGTAGTAAAATATGTGGCCTTTTTGTTGGCTTCTTTCATTTACCCCGATGTTTTGTCATTGTGTTGTAGCATGGATCAGTATTTTGTTCCTTTTTATTGCAGAATAATACTTACAGTTCGTTTTTAATGAAAATAATAACACAGACCTGGTCTCCTGGTAGCAAATATGAGAAAACCACTAGGTTTGGGCCTAGCTGTTCCCTTTATGCCTCTCCTATGTGTTATCCTTGGTAACTGCCCAGACCCAAGACCAGACAGGACCATTGCCTTCTAGAGTTCTCTTATTCCATACCTGGATGCTTGTGCTTCCTCCCTTGGACTTTTTGTCCCTTTACTACCCTTCCTGGCATTCTTTTCACTGTTCTGTGAATTCTCATTTTCAGTGTCAACACATTACCCTGTGTTCTCAGTGCTTTCACAGTGGGTTGCTGGCAGGTAATTGGAATCTGAGAATTTTATCCAAGTTGCCCATTATTCTAATCTCCATAAGCCACAGAGCCAGGAACTGCTGATGGTGTACTGGTTGTGGCGAACACTCTTTTTTGAAAATTACTCTCTTACATAACCACAGCACATGCCATCAAAATCAGGAAATCAGCGTTGATCTGATAAAACCATCTACTCCACAGACCTTGTTCGGGTTTGGGGGATTATTCCAGAATGTTCTCTCCTGGTCCAGGATTTGATCCAGGATCTACTGGCATGACTCTAATTTTCTTCAGTATGGAGCAGTTCCTCAGCCTTTCTTTGCATTTCATAGCAAACTTACTGAAGATAACTAGTTTTTTTTTTTTTTTTTTTTTTTTTTGGTGGAAACTCAGTTTAATGTTTCTTTATAATCTGCTTTTGTAGGGGAGGAGCAAAAATTCTGTATTCTTAGTGTTTTGTAACTGGAGCCGTGTGATGTCAATTTGAGTAAATATGATAGAAGATATCCAGTGTTGGTCCTTAGGGAAAAAGGTTTTCATAATCACAGAAGTGGGGGCTCTCACTGAGGTTGAGTTATCAACAAATAGTTACATTTTCTGGCAGCATTGATGGTGAATTTTATCTAATTATCTTTTAACTCATAGATAAGACAATCACTTATTCATACATTTACTACCCCTACTACGTGCTTACCCATGTGTGGGTGCCGGGGATCCAGGCATCAACCAAACAGGCCTCTGGTTGCTCACCCTCATTCACTGATATGTGTGAGAGGGAATTTCAGTAGTGGTAAGTCAGTGGTCTTGCAACGTAATTCTTGTGCTTTCAAAGATCATTCATAGACTCATATAGCTAACACTCACAGGATACTGCTCTTTGGCATTGACCAGTCCCTCCACTTTCTTCCCTGAGACCCATTGCAAGCTGTTTCTGATCATTGTCAGGAAAGATTGTTTTCCTGTGTTTGTGTTATTTTGAAAAGGCTCTCTGTGTTGGTTTGGTGCACCAGGATAGTGTTGTACAGACTCACTTGCCACAGCAAAAAAATGACATCCTAAGGAGAAGTTAGTATATTCATCAGATGTTAAGTTTTTGAGTTGAGATTTTGTCAGCTTTTTTGACCTGGAAAAATAGAAGGTTTATTTATTTATTTTTTTTCAAGAGTTGTCACTGGTCACAGATAATGAAATAAGTAAAGTGAGTGGTGTTTATCATCCATTGAGCTAGACCTATTTTACTAGCTGATTGACTACCTGAAAATCTGAGTTTGAATGTGGTTATTTCACTGTGTCAAATGGTAGCCTAGTAACTGATTATTACTGCTGTTTTAAACAGTGACCTTCTTATGTTTAGGATATATTTAGGTGAGTTAGTGAGGTAGCTTTGATGCCTTAATAGAACCAGAGAAACCACTTGGCCATAATAACTGATAGTTTTCAGGTTTTCATACTGTGCTTACTACTTAACACATCTGTAACCTAGCAGAGCTCCAACGTTCTTCTTTTTGTTCCTACAGAGAAAGGATCTCAAGTCTAACTTAGAATGTGGCATAATAATGTGTGACAGTCTTTTGAGGAACAAATCACAGTAACCCCAAATTGCCCAGGGTAATCAATAGCAACTGCCAGATTGCATTTGGAGCCAGGACATTTCTTTGGCTACACTGGATGACCATGTGAGATCTGAGAGAACATGAGGATGGTTATAAGTGGCTGGATAAAAACAAAACGAAAATATGTGAGTTCCTTTTGAGCTAAAGATGTTGATGAGAATTATTCTGAAGAAAAATGGCCACTACATTTTAAGTGCTAATTTAAGAATGGCTGCTGCTTCTTAGAGATTGTTGAGTATACTGATTCTAAATTATGTAGTTTAAGTTGTGTAAATTTAAATTCTGGAGTAGGTTTTTTTTTATATCATATCCATCATAAAACAGCTGTTTTCACTTGCCATAGGTGAAACTATGGGTAAACATTTCTTTTATGTGCAGGTGTGTTGTAGCAATAGAACTTGTTAACAGTGTAAGTGCTTAAGGAATTTTTAGTGCAGATTCTGTGAGTTAAAATTACAGTATGGAATGGTCATGAAGCCTGATTTCCTTCCTCAGCCCCACTGTCCAGTAGAAAAATGATCCAGATTTAGTCTTCAATATGTAATCTATCTTCTTCTTGGATGTGCAGAAGGGTTTGTATTATATTGTATTTAAGGCTTAACATCTCATGCCAAGTAATTTTTTCTTCTGAATCACAGTAAAACTGTGTGGAAATCAGTTCAAGAAAAATTTGCTTGATGGTAGTGCATGATGGTAAGTGGGGCATTGGGAGTTCATCCTGAGTAAAGGAAGAGAGCCTGTTTCTCAAGCAGAGTCCATTCTGCTAGTGAATTGCCCACTTCTCCAAATGAACATAATGCAGTTAGGTCAGGGAGAATGACACAGGAGGCTCAGCATCATTTCTGTCTCCTCACTTTTCTTGGCACCATATCCTAACACAAAGGTTTATTGAATATTTACCTAAAATTTCTCCCACATTGGTTATTTTCACTTCTGTGGTTTGACACTGTGATACCAGATGGGACAAACAAGAGCCTGGTCAAAACTTGAAAAAAAAATCTGGGGAACAAGCAGTCCACAGGGTCTTTGAAAAGCTCTGATACATTCCTGGGGACCTAAAAGGTTGCATAAATGTGAAAAGCTGTGTGCATGCCTGGGAAAGACCTGAGAGGGCCCTACTCTTTCACCTCTGGCTGATTGGAGTTTCTGTGCAAGTAGGAAGTGAAGGCTAAGGCAGAGTTCTAAGCTGCCTGAATGTTGAGGGCATGTCTTAACACACATGGATACATCTAGAGCTTCTCAGCAAAGAATGGAATATTTATTGATTCACAGAATTTAAGGAAATGTCTGTCGAATCATTAGCTGACCACTAAGTTAACTGAGCAGAGACTTTAGTGGTTGTACAGTACAGGGAATAAAGACTATTGAATTAGTCCTGGAAGGTCACTATGCTAACAAATAGCAGCAGCAGAAACAACAAAACAGCAATTACAACAGACCCTAAGGGTGGGGGATATCTGATTTCCAGAGTTTTTACATTATATTATCTAAAATACTTAGTTTTCAATTAAAAATATTGAAATATGCAAAGAAATAGGAAAGCATGACCTATACACAGGAAAAGAACTGTCAATAGAAACTATCCCTGAGAGGTCTAATTGTTGGTCTTACAAATACTTTAAACCAGCTATTAAATATACGTTATTTATAGGATAAATATAAAAATATTGTAGACTAGGTGCAGTGACTCATGCCTGTAATCCCAGTACTTTGGGAGGCTGAGGTGGGTGGATTGCTTTGAGCCTAGGAGTTCAAGACCAGCCTGGGCAACATGGTGAAACCCCATCATGCATGCCTGTGGTCCCAGGTACTCTGCTGGCTGAGGTGGGAGGATCGTTTGAGCCTAGGAAGTTGAGGCTGCAGTGAGCTGTGATTGCACCACTGCACTCCAACCTGCACAACAGAGTGAGATCCTCTCTCAAAAAAATTATAAATATTAATATATACATAAAAATAAAGTCTAAAGGAAACCAGGTCTAAAGAATTAAAATATGAGAACAATGCTTAACCAAATAGATAATATCAATAAAGAAAAACTGGAAAAAAGACCCCGCATATCTACAACTATCTGATCTTTGACAAACCTGAGAAAAACAAGCAATGGGGAAAGGATTCCCTATTTAATAAATGGTGCTGGGAAAACTGGCTACCCATATGTAGAAAGCTGAAACTGGATCCCTTCCTTACACCTTATACAAAAATCAATTAAAGATGGATTAAAGACTTAAACGTTAGACCTAAAACCATAAAAACCCTAGAAGAAAACCTAGGCATTACCATTCAGGACATAGGCACGGGCAAGGACTTCATGTCTAAAACACCAAAAGCAATGGCAACAAAAGCCAAAATTGACAAATGGGATCTAATTAAACTAAAGAGCTTCTGCACAGCAAAAGAAACTACCATCAGAGTGAACAGGCAACCTACAAAATGGGAGAAAATTTTCGCAACCTACTCATCTGACAAAGGGCTAATATCCAGAATCTACAATGAACTCAAACCGATTTACAAGAAAAAAACAACCCCATCAAAAAGTGGGCGAAGGACATGAACAGACACTTCTCAAAAGAAGACATTTATGCAGCCAAAAAACACATGAAAAAATGCTCACCATCACTGGCCATCAGAGGAATGCAAATCAAAACCACAATGAGATATCATCTCACATCAGTTAGAATGGCAATCATTAAAAAGTCAGGAAACAACAGGTGCTGGAGAGGATGTGGAGAAATAGGAACACTTTTACACTGTTGGTGGGACTGTAAACTAGTTCAACCATTGTGGAAGTTAGTGTGGCGATTCCTCAGGGATCTAGAACTAGAAATACCGTTTGACCCAGCCATCCCATTACTGGGTATATACCCAAAGGACTATAAATCATGCTGCTATAAAGACACATGCACACGTATGTTTATTGTGGCACTATTCACAATAGCAAAGACTTGGAACCAACCCAAATGTCCAACAATGATAGACTGGATTAAGAAAATGTGGCACATATACACCATGGAATACTATGCAGCCATAAAAAATGATGAGTTCATGTCATTTGTAGGGACATGGATGAAATTGGAAATCATCATTCTCAGTAAACTATGGCAAGAACAAAAAAACCAAACACCGCATATTCTCACTCATAGGTGGGAATTGAACAATGAGAACACATGGACACAGGAAGGGGAACATCAGACTCTGGGGACTGTTGTGGGGTGGGGGGAGGGGGGAGGGATAGCATTGGGAGATATACCTAATGCTAGACGACGAGTTAGTGGGTGCAGCGCACCAGCATGTCACATGTATACATATGTAACTAACCTGCACATTGAGCCCATGTACCCTAAAACTTAGAGTATAATAATAAAAAAGAAAAAATAAAATAAAAATTATAAAGTTGAAAAGCTTTTTAAAATATATTTCTTAATAAAAATGTGTAAACCTTGTCCACTAGGTTATGTAGACTCCTTAAAGGTGTTAATAGTTATTGTGTACATTACATTTTTGTGTCTGTCAATATGCCTACTGAAATAAATGGTTTTCCTTCTTTCCACTTAGCATCACTTGTGTATATATATTTATTGTGTGCCTGTCTTCCCTACTAGCATAGAGACTTCATGAGAATGGTGCCTTGTTTACTCACCAATTTCTACCCAGCATGTGTGTATTAGTCCATTTTCACACTGCTGTAAAGACACACTTGAGACTGGGTTGTTTATAAAGAAAAGAGATTTAATTGACTCATAGTTCTTCATGGCTGGGGAGGCCCCAGGAAACTTACAATCATGGTGGAAGGGGAAGCAGGCACATCTTACATAGTGGCAGGTGAGAGAGCATGCAAGAGCAGGGAAAACTGCCTTATAAAACCATCAGATCTCGTAAGAACTCACTATCACAAGAACAGCATGGGGGAAACCACCCCCATGATCCAATCACCTCTCTCCCTCGACACATGGGGATTACAATTTGAGATGAGATTTGGGTGGGGATACAGAGGCAAACCATATCAGTGTGATTCAATATCTGGCTGATAGTAAGTTTTCAAAACATATATGTGGAATCAGTAAACTGCCAACAAAATAAATATGGTATAAAATATTGAAAATATGGTATAAAATATAAAAAATAGTACACCTGTATAGGGCATTTAGCATAAATGGAACTTGCAGTTTAGACATTGCTCTGGGTGAGTGAGTGAGTGATGAGTGAATGTGAAGGCCTATGACATTACTGTTTACTACTGTAGACTTTTATAAACACCCTACATTTAGCTACACTAAATTTATGAAAAAATATTTTTCTTTGATAATAACCTTAGCTTACCGTAATGTTTTTACTTTCTAAGCTTTTCAATTTTTTAACCTTTTTGATGTTATAATCACACTTATTAAATACTTTGTATAGCTGTACAAAAATATTTTCTTTTTTATATTCATACTCTATAAGTTTTTTTCTATTTCCTTTTTTTTTAACTTTTAACTTTTTTTGGTAAAAACTAAGTCACAAACACACACATTAGCCTGGGCCTACACAGGGTCAGGATCTTCAGTATCACTGTCTGCCACCTCCACATCTTGCCCAATGGAAGGTCTTCGGGGCAGTAACAGGCATGGAGCTGTCATCCCTGTGATAAAAATGCCTTCTTCTTAAACACCTTCTAAAGAACTTGTCTGAGGCTGTTTTATAGTTAACCTTTTAACAAATAAAAGGAGCCAGGTGCCGTGGCTCAAGCCTGTAATCCCAGCACTTTGGGAGGCTGAGGCGGGCAGATTGCTTGAGGTCAGGAGTTTGAGACCAGCCTGGCCAACATGGTGAAACCCTGCCTCTACTAAAAACACAAAAATTAGCTGGGTGTGGTGGTGTGCACCCGTAATCCCAGCTACTCAGGAGGCTGAGGCAGGAGAATCTCTTGAACCCAGGAGGCAGAGGTTACAGTGAACCAAGATCACTCCACTGCATTCTAGCCTGGGTGACAGAGTGAGACAACGTCTCGAAAAAAACAAAAACAAAAAAAAACCTAAGTAAAAGGAGTACATTCTATTAAAATAACAATAAAAAGTATAGCACAGTAAATACATAAACCAGTAGCATAGTCGCTTATTACCACTATCAGGTGTTATGTACTGTGCATAATTGTATGTGCTATAGTTTTATGTGACTGGCAGCATGATGAGTTTTACATGAGCATCATCACAAACACAAAATGTAATGTCGCATTACAACATTGAGATGGCTATGACGTCACTAGGTGATAGGAATTTTTCAGCTCCATCATAATCTTATGGGACCACCATCATATATGCAGTCTGTTCTTGACCAAAACATTGTTTTGTGGCACATGACTGTATTATTAGGTGTCATTATTCCTATAGCCCAGGCACTAATTTCCTTGTCTTGGAAGTGGGAAAGAATATTAATTAAACTGGTACTATGTGCAGTTTAACAATCATATGACCTCTAGATCAGGAATTCTTAGCCTCCCTGGCTGTCCCTACTGAGTATGATTGGTTGAACAATCGGTGTCCTCCTGTCCTTTGCAAGAAAGCACACACAGAACTCCAGAAGTTTATTGTCTTTACATGAGATTCCTAATGAGAGGCTCCCTGTGGGGTCACTAGGGGAATGGCTCCAGTATGGCACATTGGGCGACCTTGGATATATCCACATAGGCTCTGCAGGCAAAGGCTGGAACTACAGCTAACCTGAGTCTTGGCAGAAGCACCTTATTCTCCCAGCACATGACAGAAAGCGAGGCCCGTGATTAGTGGCTCCAAGGCCATCTCTTTGGAGTCTTTCATGGCCTCCTGGGTTCTGGTGAGGTATGAAGTAGTCTGCCTTAGATTACAGCTGCAGACTATAAAACTTCCTACCTTAAGTTTAGAATTAGCTTCTCAGCAATGTGATGTCCCACAGCTCACGTGGCAATCATATGGCCCCCTTTGTTTTGGGTCATCCTTTTTGTTGTATGAGACAAGGATCACAGGGAGCTGGAACTTTTGGCTACCTTCTCTCTAGGTAAGAAATACATTGTCTAAGTCTAAAAAGGGCTCGTGTGTCTCCTCTGATTGAATCTGTCCACCAGGCCTTGGTCTTGGCCCTGCTTGCTGCTCTGTGCTTTATGGGGCCCTGATCCCAGTGTGGGAGGCCTCTCAACCCAGACCTGGGGGGGCCACTCTCTCACCTGGCTGGTCTCCCCTCCTCTGTGGGATTAGCCCACAGACTTTTAAGTCCAGATCCTGGTTCTTAGATAGCTTTTAATTTTCCATACTTTGTTGTAGGGTATGAGTTTTGTTTTGTTGCTTTTTCCCCTAATTTTCAAAGTTGGACAGAAGAAGTTCCTGAGATTCACTGAGGGCCATAGACTTGGTGTGGCAGCTTACTTCTTTTTTCTTTATAATTGGCCTTGAAAAAAAAATTATACATAAATAAAATTATGTATATAATTGACATATATTAAAATTCAAATACCTAACACTGAAGGATTCTGGAAGGGTTAATTTCTCTCATGCTACAACATGAATGAACCTTGAAAACATGATGCTAAGTTAAAGAAACCAGACCAAAAAGCAATATTTTGTATGATTGCATTTCTATGAATGGTTCAGAGCAGGCAAATTCAAGACATAGAGCAGTGATTGCTAGGAAACAGGAAAAGGGAGATGGACAGTGACTGCTAATGGGTTTTTTTGGGGGGTTGATAAAAATATTCTGGAATTAGATAGTGGTAATGGTTGTACAACTTGTAACTACATTAAAAATTACTTATACCATTTAAAAGGGTGAATTTTATATGTAAATTATGTCTGAGTTTTTTAAATTACATAAGATAAATTATAAACTTGGTATATTAGTTTCCATGGCTGCTGTAACAACCAACCATCAACTTGGAACTTGTGGTGTAAAACAACAGAAATTTACCCTCTCACAATTCTGAGGCCAAATATCTGAAATCAAGTTGTCGGCGGGCCTCTTCTCCCTCTGGAAGCTCTATGAGAGAGTCTGTTCCTTGCCTGACAGCTTTGGTGGCTGCTGGCATGCCTCGGCCACATTACTCCAATCTCTGCCTCTGTCCTCACATTGCCTTCTCGTGTGTGTGTGCGTGTGTGTGTGTGTGTGTCCTCTCCCTCTGACTCTGTGGTGTCAATTCCCACACAGCTTTTGGCTTCTTATTATGCAGAAGACAGTTTGTTTTTCCTCCTTCATTGAATTTCATTTAAAAATACTCTCTAATAACTTTCCATTTTAGTCATTCTACCGAAAAAAAATGCAACAGAGATTGTACATATGGTTGTTTCTTCTATTTGTTCATAATAAAAAGCTGAGGCTGATGTTTGCACTGTCATACTGTGAAAGGCAAATCCATTGAGGAATAAAAAGCGAT
The DNA here is from genome assembly GCF_000001405.40 of Homo sapiens. Classification (NCBI taxonomy): domain Eukaryota; kingdom Metazoa; phylum Chordata; class Mammalia; order Primates; family Hominidae; genus Homo; species Homo sapiens. The sequence continues at coordinate 439,024 of NW_015495299.1, forward strand.
ATGCATCTTTTCCATCTTTCTGCTGGTCTTTTTTTTTTTTTTTTTTTTTTTTGAGACTGGGTCTCACTCTGTCGCCCAGGCTGAAATCCAGTGGCGCCATCATAGCTCACTGCAGCCTGGATCTCCCAGGCTCAAGCAATCCTCCCACCTCAGCCTCCCGAGTGACTAGCACTAGGGGTACCCACCACCATGCCTGGCTAATTTTTTTTACTTTTTATAGAGAAGGGGTCTCCTTATGTTGCCCAGGCTCTTCCTGAACTCCTGGACGCAAGTGATCTTCCCGCCTCGGCCTCCCAAAGTGCTGGGATTTCAGGCATGAGCTACCGCATTCAGCCTGGTCTATCTTTTTAATTGTCTGTCTGCCTGTGTGTCTCATTAGAATGTAAGTTTCATGAAGAGAAGAACTTTTTTGTGTTTTAGTTCCTGTTGTATTCCCATTGCGTACCAGAGTATCTAGAATAGAGTAGATACTTCATAAATAATTGTTGAATGAATGAATTAGTGACTTTAGGCCTATTGCAGGTATTGTAGCTAACAGTACAAATTGAGATCCTTAATGAGTACTTCATTGTGTGTTGTTATATAGAAGCCCATTGGTGGGGTGATGGTGAAGTAAGAAATATAAGTTAATTTTATTAGATTGGCTGGTAAGAAAAATCGATCACGTGTCAGTTTAGGCCCTCCAGGAAGGAGACACTGGGATGGGTTAGACATGCAAGAGCTGTATTGTGAAAGACACCTGTCAAAACTGCCTGGGAACTAGAAAGAAGGAGGAACGAGAGGAGGCAGAGGAAGTCTTCAGATGCAGTGCAAGTCTGATGCCTATGAAAGGAGATGGGGGAAAGAAAGAGGGTTGTGTGGGAAGAGCCACAGACTATGGTGCCTGTCTGAGAAAGTCTCAGCCAGCCCACCAGAAAGCTCCGGTATAAAGATTTCCCATAGATGAGTTCCATCTCGGGCAGCAATGGCTCAGTCATTAGCTGGGGGCTATCCAGGAGGATCATGGGCTGAGCCCTTATACTTCAAGTTCTTGAAGGGAGATCCACGAGGTGCACTTCGTGGTTACCACAGTCCTCCGATGCCAAGCAGATCCACTTCTCCACACACATATCGGGAGCAGCTTCTTCAGGGTTTGCTACAGTGTTGCCCCTCAGCTTGGGTCTTGGCAGGTCATCTCACCAGCCAGCCAGCTCTAGCAGCCTGGTTGCATTTTGGATGGCATTGTGTCTGGTATGACCAGAGGATCCCATGGTCATGGACCCACTACTCTACTTCCTTTGCTATAAAGTAGGTTGGACGCTATGTTGTGCGTGATTTCATGCCTGCAGATTAGCTTCTGTAAGCCCCCAGATCATGGTGCTGGCAGGAAAGGTGTAGGCAGGAAAGACAAGCCCTTATTTGAAGTAAGTGTTTATTCCTGAGAGAACAAATCAATGGTCCTTCCATGACATAAGAGGTCCAATGTAGTCAGTTTGGCCAGAAATGGCTAGTTGGTCCCCTCGAGGAACAGTGCCATCTCATGGGTTCAATATTGGTGTCTATTGTTGGCAGATTAGACATTCAGTGATAACAGTACCTAGATGAGCGCTGGCGAGTAAATGCTGTTGTCTATGCTGTTGGGTCCATATGTTTCCCCATCTTTGCCAGGGTAACTACTCCATTTGCATGCCAGTCGTTTCAGTTGTATTTTATTTTATTTTTTGAGATGGAGTCTCACTTTGTCACTCAGGCTAGAGTGCAGTGGCCTGATCTTGGCTCACTGCAACCTCCACCTCTGGGTTCAAGTGATTCCCCTGCCTCAGCTTCCTGATGAGCTGGGACTACAGGCATGTGCCACCATGCCTGGCTAATTTTTGTACTTTTAGTAGAGATGGGATTTCACCTTGTTAGTCAGGCTGTTCTCGAACTTCTGACCTCAGGTGATCTGCCTACCTTGGCCTCCCAAAGTGCTGGGATTACAGGCGTGAACCACCGCACCCAGCCCTTTCCAGTTCTTAAGTGATGGATAATGAAGGCTGGCTAATGTCAACTGGCTGAGCCATTTTATCTACTTGGTTGCTTGTTGCCTCTTCTCTGGTACATGCTTTCTGGTGGGCATTAATGTGTGATACAACAATTTACACTTTGTGCTCATCTCCATACGTCCACCCACTTGCCCCTACTCCAGAATTCTTTGCATCAGTCTCTCAGAATTTGCTTTCTAGGCCCTTGACCAGCCTCCTGCGCCATTAATTACTGCCCATGATTCCATATGTATTCTTATGTCAGATCACCTCTCTTTCCACACAAAGTGAATGACCAAGTGTACCTGGTGAAGCTTCTGTCATTGGAAAGATTGTCTCTCCCTACTCTTTTTCAAGGGCAGTCCTGAAGGGGATTGTAAAGCAGCCTCATTTATTTTCAGCTTTTACACACAAACAGAGCCAACACATTTACAAATGAAGCTCAGGCTGTCTCTTCTGACTTCAGCTGGTCATGTGGGACCCTCTGTATGACCAGTAGGTATAAGCTAAAGAAGGAAGTGGGAGCCTGCGCTACCGCCTCAGGCAGGTCACACGTGCTACTTGTTCTGCCTGGGCTGATCCCAGGTGTACCCTTTTCTATCCTTATGGCGGACTTCTGCTGGGCAGTTTTCTACCACCACCTGGCCTGTACTATTTCAGGGACTCATTGTCACCACTGCTATTAGCAAGCTACTCTCTGAGATTGCTTCTCCTTTTGTCAGCCCTGGACTGTGGAAGAGGATCACCACTGAATTCCTTAGTGATGCTGGTACTTCTCTAACCACTGCATTTCTGATGGCCTCTGTGAATGAGGTGTCTTCTAGGTTCTCCTATGAAGCATAATCCTCTGATTGGTCTTCTGGCCCTACATAATACATACATTCCACCATGCCTATTTCCCTGCATTGTCATTATTTCGCCCCTGCTTGTTATAGCAATTCATGCATTGCAAGTCCACTCAGCATGGGCCATCACTTTCTCCAGGTTTTTAAAACCACTCTTAGGCCAGGTGTGATGGCTCACGCCTGTAATCCCAGCACTTTGGGAGGCCAAGGCGGGTGGATCACCTGAGGTCAGGAGTTCGAGACCAGCCTGGCCAATATGGTGAAAATTAGCTGGGCATGGTGGTGCATGCCTGTTATCCCAGATACTCAGGAGGCTGAGGCAGAAGAATCTCTTGAACCCGGGAGGCAGAGATTGCAGTGAGTCGAGATTGCACCATTGCACTCCAGCCTGGGCGACTAAAGTGAAACTCCATCTCAAAAAATAAAATAAAACCACCGTTTCAGTTAGTTTGTCCCATTCCCTTGCTAGGGTGTTAAGTCCCATGTTCTGAGAAAGTGCTCCTAAGTCAATAAACTCTTAAACAAACAGCAGTTGATCAGGCATACTCAAAATCCAATTCAATGGTTTCTGCTAGTATATCCTAGCTAATCCTTGCAGCTCCTTTAGGATGTAATATGTCTTATCATTGCCAGTATGTGCCAGTTGTTTTAGTTGAGATTTAACCCTAGTTATCAATCTGGAAGCCAGGTGAGAAGTGGGGTCAGCTTCTGAAGGGAGATCAGTTGTCTTGCAGGGGAGGGGTCTTTTCACATAGGGGAAATGCTAACTCAAAATAGGGCCTCGTGGAAGAATCACTAACTCTTAATAGGGAGGGGTAGGGAACCTCAGCAGGTTCTGAGAGCCAAAGTCTTTGAGGATTCATTCACATCCCATGATTCAGGGTCCCATAGTTTCTAAACAAAGCCCTGATCTTAGCATAACAGACTTGCCTTGGCTGAGTTTTCATTGTCTTTGAAGTTTGGCTACCCTGAATTTGCTCCACAGCTGTGTCTGTTCTCTCACTGCAGGAGATAAAGGCCTCTTTGTAAGCTGCCAGAGAGGTCCTTTGGCTCTCATACTTAGTTTTTAAATGTTTGTTAACTGCCTTCAATTTCTCATTGTCCTATTGTATGGCATCAATACAAATTAATAACAACCAGCCAATTCCATTGTCCTTGTATGCATCGTCCACCCTCAACTGCCTGAATTATTGCACTGGCCAGAGAAGTTGCCTCCACCGGAATACTGTCCTGAGTCACCATTGGTAAAAGTTTAGCAAACAGACCTCTACCTTCTACCAGAGACTAGTCATGCCACTGGGGCATGGGGTCATCATTTCTAGTGAGGAAGTGAGTTACCTAATCCCCGAGGTCCATCTTGCTATCTGCTGTCTGGGACCACTCTCAGTTATCAATGATTAAGTCTGGTTTCTCTAAGGGAGAAGATGCCAAGTCCAAGTTGGCAATGCAAGAGATTCATGAGAGTAACCTGGTGAAATATAAAAGGGAGAAGAAATAAGAATAGGCAGGTAAGGAGAAGGAGAAGAGAGGTAGATTAAGGAGGAAGAGCTAAATCTCAGCCAAGCCAATGGGGAGCTCTGGCGTAAAGACTGCCAGGAGATGAATTCCATGCTGGGTGAATGACTAGCTTCTCATATATCTGCCAGACTCAGTTACTGGCTTGGGACTGCTTGAGAAGAATGCGGCTTCAGCTCAAATGATGTGGCATATCCTGAAGGTGATATAGCTGGAGGCTGCCATCTAATATACAGCTTCATGCTGATTGGCAAGTTCGTTTTTTGTTTTTGTTGTTTTTTTCCTTTTTTATTTTACTTTAAGTTTTGGGATACGTGTACAGATTGTGCAGGTTTGTAACATAGATACACATGTGCCATGGTGGTTTGTTGCACCTATCAGTCATCTAGGTTTTAAGCTCCGCATGCATTAAGTATTTGTCCTAATGCTCTCCCCTACCTTGCCCCCAACCCCCCGACAAGCCCCAGTATGTGATGTTCCCCTCCCTGTGTCCGTGTGTTCTCATTGTTCAACTCCCACTTGTGAGTGAGAGGCAAGTTATTTCTTGAAGGAAAATCCAAGTGGCACGCATGGATGGCTGCCATACCACATCAGTTATTTATCTCTAAACCCAGGTGTGGTAGGTTGATAATGACTCTCAAAGATATGTCCACCTCAGAATCACTAGAACCTGTGAATATTTGGAAAATGGGTCTTTGCAGATATGATTCAGTTGAGGACCTTGAGATGAGATGATCTTGATGGTCCCTAAATGCTACAAGTGTCTTTACTAGAAAGAGGCAGAGGCGGCCAGGTGCGGTGGCTCATGCCTGTAATCCCAGAACTTCGGGAGGCTGAGGCGGGCGGATCACGAGGTCAGGAGATGGAGACCATCCTGGCTAACACGGTGAAACCCCGTCTCTACTAAAAATACGAAAAATTAGCTGGGCGTGGTGGCGGGCGCCTGTGGTCCCAGCTACTCGGGAGGCTGAGGCAGGAGAATGGCGTGAACCCGGGAGGCGGAGCTTGCAGTGAGCCGAGATCGCGCCACTGCACTCCAGCCTGGGCGACAGAGCAAGACTCCGTCTCAAAAAAAAAAAAAAGAAAAAGAAAAAGAAAGAGGCAGAGACAAAGGGGACACACACACACACACACACACACACGCACGCACGCACGCACGCACGCACAAGAAGGCAATGTGAGGACAGAGGCAGAGATTGGAGTAATGTGACTAAGGAATGCCAGCAGCCACCAAAGCTGTCAGGCAAGGAATAGAATCTCTCATAGAGCTTCCAGAGGGAGTGGAGCTCTGCTGACACCTCGATTTCAGACTTTTGGCCTCAGAACTGTGAGAGAATACATTTCTGTTGTTTTAAGCCACAGGTTACACCTTTATAGTTGTTTGTTACAGCAGCCATGGAAACTAGTACACCGAGTTTATAATTTATTTTATGTAATTTTAAAAGCTCAGACATTATTTACATATTATAAAATTCACCACTTTAAAGTGTATAATTGATTTTTAATGTAGTCACAAGTTGTACAACCATTACCACTATCTAATTCCAGAACATTTTCATCATCCCTAAAAGAAACCCCATCCCCCACAGCAGTCGCTCAGCATCTCCTCTCACTCTGCTTCCTAGCAATCACAAGTCCATGTTAAGTCTCTATGAATTTGCCTGTTCTGACCTTTCATATAAAGGCAATTTGCTGGGTGCGGTGGCTCATGCCTGTAATCCCAGCACTTTGGGAGGCTGAGGCAGGTGGATCACCTGAGGTCAGGAGTTTGAGACCAGCCTGACCAATGTGGTGAAACCCCATCTCTACTAAAAATACAAAAATAGCCAGGTGTGGTGGTGGGCACCTTTAATCCCAGCTACTAGGAAGGCTGAGGCAGGAGAATCACTTGAATCTGGGAGGTGGAGGTTGCAGTGAGCCAAAATTGCACCACTGCACTCCAGCCTGAGCAACAGAGTGAGATTCCATCTCGACAGATAAATAAATAAATAAAAGCAATCATAAAATATGTTGCTCTTTGGCCCAGTTTCTTTCACGTATCATTATGTTCTCAAGGTTCATCCATGAATGTTGTGGCATGAATCAGTACTTCATTCTTTTTCATGGTCAAATAATATTGCAATGTGCAGCTATACCCCCTTTGGTTTGTCCATCAGTGATGGACTTTTGGGTATAATTTCTTGAAATCAAATTTCTATAGGTAAAAAATTTTTATTTGAACAATGTGTTACCCAGATGTCAATTTGAATCATTGTTCCTCTTAATATTTTGAATAGATCTCAATTCTGAATCTGGTAGAAAGTCCAAAATGCCCTCAATATATTTCCAGCAAGTCCAAGTCTGTTCTGCCTGTGAGTAGTAAATCAATCACTGTGACATGAGTTTTACAAAAGAGAAAAGACTTATTTGCAAGGGCACTGATTGAAGAGACAGGAGAACAGCTCTCAAATCCACCTCCCCAAATATAAGGCTTAGGGATGTTTATGCATTAGGGAAGTGGGTGGTCTAAGGTGTGGAGAAAGGTGATTGGTAGTGGGGAAAAATGAAGCAACAGGTTTATTCTGTACAAATGTAGCTGAAGTTCATGGCATTTTGTAGGACATATGTACAGAAAATGGTGGTGTTACCATAATCTAAGGGTGAAGTTTTCGGCCTTCTGATGTCAAAAAACCACCCCTCAGGCACTTGCACAGGCCCAGTTGAGGGGCTGGTGGTCTCCACTAGTTTGAACTGGACAGGAGCTGGCCCAAGTTTCTGAAAAACAGCTGAAGCGGCCATTCCTATGGTGATCTATGAATGTTACCTCTAAAGTAGCCAGTGAAGGTTAAGTTTTGACATTCAGTGGCAAGGCCTCCAGCTTCGTGGAAAAAGAAAACAAAAAACAAACAAAAAAACACCCAAAACACAAAAAGCAAGTGAACACAAGCAAGAAGGGCAGGCAGACCTGATCAAATTGACCTCTTGGTTTCCAGTGTTTTTATAGATCCTTGAGTTGGGAGAGCAAGGAAGGCTTAAATTATCACAATCACCTCTGGTTCCTATATTTTGCGTTCACTGAATTCTTGTTGTTTGTTCTGAATATTGAGGCTGATTCTTTATCTTGGCATTGGAATGTTCCTAAACTTGGAACTCAGCTCCTTTCCTCTTCCCCTATATCAGTTCTGACTTTTGTTGCAAATGGCAAAAAACAGACTCAAACTGGCTTGGGCAAAATAAGTACATTAGCATCTCAAGTAGAAGTTCTCAAGCTTTCTGAGCTCAGGATGTCTCACACTCTTCAAAATTACTAAGGATCCCAAAGAACTTTTGGGTTACATCTATTGATATGTATTGCATTAGAAATTAAAACTAAGAAAGGTTTAACATTTTTACTTATTAATTCAATTAAAAACAGCAACAATAATCCTAGTATATGCTAACACAAATAACACATTTTAAATAAAAGAGAATTATATTTTCCAAAACAAAAAATTAGTGGGAAGAGTGACATTGTTTGACATTAAAAAAAAATTCTAGTGTTCGATTTAATAGAAGACTGTTGGATTCTTATATCTTCCTCTGCATTCAATCTGTTGTAAAATGTGGCTTCTATATAACTATAAAGAAAATTTGGCTTCATAGAGATATAAATTAGAATGAACAAGGAGTATTTTAATAGCTTGTCAGATAATTATTGATCTTGTTCTTTGAAATTTCACCAAAATTTGGTAAGTGGTAGTTTCTTAAAGATTAGTTGCAATGTGGAATGTAAAACCATACCAGTGATCTTTTTTTTTTTTTTTTTTTTTTGAGATGCAGTCTTGCTCTGCTGCCCAGGCTAGAGTGCAGTGGTGTGATCTCGTCTCACTGTAACCTCCACCTTCCAGGTTCAAGCAATTCTCCTGCCTCAGCCTCCCGAGTAGCCAGGATTATGGGTGCTCGCCACCATGCCCAGCTAATTTTTGTCTTTTTAGTAAAGATGGGGTTTCACCATGTTGGCCCGGCTGGTCTCGAACTCCTGACCTCAGGTGATCCACCTGCCTCGGCCTCCCAAAGTGCTGGGATTACAGGCATGAGCCACTGCACCTGGCCCCATGCTAGTGATCTTTTTATACTTTCTTACATTCAAATCCATTGGTCTAATTTGCACTTTGAATGGATCTTTTACCCATGCATGATTTTGTAACATTATGCATTAGTTGTCTGGAAAGTACCCTTTCCCTGAGTTGTGCAGATCTTTCAAATGTTGGCACATTTCATTATACAATATCAAAAAAGCACATTTGTTATATTATTACCAATTTAATCATAAAAGTCTTTAAGTATGGGTAAACTGTTATGTACTTAGTGTCGGATACAAGTTTTCCAAAATCTTAGTGTTTACTTTAAAGCCAGCATTTTATCATTAGTAACAAAATTGTCAGCTGTTTTCCTTGAAGTTGAAGTCTCACTGTGTTCATTTTCAATAAAATGTCTGCCAAATACCCAAATCTGAATTAGCATTGTGCCTGTCAGTTGTTCTTTCTAGTAAAAATAGTGTTATGTGAAAAAGCAGCTAGTTCAGCTCGCGAATCAACTGCACAAATGCTCTTCCTAGAGACAAAACTATTTTATTTTAGCATGCAGTAGAAGTTCCTTCTGCGTATTTTCCATTTCATCTTACAGAATATTTTAAAAGACATGTTCCCAACAGTTCAGATTTAACAAAATTAACAATTTTTTTTTTGCTTTTATCAAGGGCACTATTAAGTGAAACTGACCTTTTCCCCCTCCAGTAAGTACATGTTGGTAAAGAATATGAGGACCACTAGCATAGTTTGGTGCCACTATCTTGAGATGTACTGAGGGGCAGCAGTTTTATTCGCTATTGCTTTGTGATATCAATAGAAGTGTTAACATGGTGGGAGGCGGAAGCAGAACCCCCAAATTATGTCTTAGTAATATTATAAAATTAATTTTTTATCTCATGGACTCCCTGAAAGGGTCTTCCAGATTCCCAACAGTCCACAGGTCATCCTTTGAGAGCTGCTGACTTGCAGCATGTTGTTCTCCTAGGAGCTTAAGCCTTCATCATCTCAGTCAAGGAACCCTGAGGAGGTTGGGAGCTGCAAACATCACAATTTTTCATTGAAATTAGGCTTGGACAAAGAGTATTTGAATTGTTTAATCTACCAATTATCTGTTTATCATGTGGCTTGTTTACTTATTTACTTATATCACTTAGTTCATATGGTTTATCTTACAAGCTAGAGCAACAAATTCATCAGTGGAATTTTATAAATATTTTATAGTTGGTAAGAAATAGGTTGATGAGATAAAACATAATCTTTCAGCTTGAAAAATGAAGTTATTCAGCTTCTATAGAACTGTAGAAGTTCCAAGGATATAAGTCACCTATAAGAACAGAGAAAAAGGCAGAAATCAATTATGGTATTTCATACTGGGAAAGTGCATTTTCACATTCCAAAATTAATCATTATTATATTGGAATCTAAAAGGAGAGCATTTTCAATATGAATTCTGTTTCTATTACTTGCTATTGGAAATGGGTAACATTTATTGATAAGCAACTATATATATATATATATATATAACTATATAATTTTTTTTTTTTTGAGAGGGAGTCTTGCTCTGTTGCCCAGGCTGGAGTGTAGTGGTGTGATCTCATCTCAGTGCAACCTCCGGCTCCCGGGTTCAAGCCATTCTCCTGCCTCAGCCTCCTAAGTAGCTGGGATTACAGGTGCATGCCACCACGCCTGACTAATTTTTAATTTTTAGTAGAGACGGGATTTCACCATGTTGGTCAGGGTGGTCTCGAACTCCTGATCTCGTCATCCACCTGTGTCGGCCTCCCAAAGTGCTGGGATTACAGATGTGAGCCACCGCGCCTGGCGAAGTTCTATATTTTTTAAGGACACATTTTGATTGAGGCCAGTTTCAGTTTAAGCAAGAACAAGATTAAGAAGTTGTTATGTGAGTGGAGAGTTATACTAAAAAGGTTTTTAAAATCGTCATGAGGATATGCAAAAAGAGAATTCCAGTGTGTCTTCAGGTGATAGTGAAGGACTCGCTTTATGTGTTAGTAGTAGCCAGTGAGAAAAAATAGATATCCATAGATACTACTGCTTTGAGGGAACCAAGATATGCAGTTGTCTTGCTGTGAAGAATAATTGGGAAGTTTGATCAAATCTCTGCTAAGAAAAAGTGCTATGATCCTAAGAACTTAAAAGCTTCTTGTCAGGGAAGTTATCTGATGCAGTGACCTTCAACATGGTGACACATCTTGCTTGTTCAGACAACACTTTTTAAAAATAAATTTGAGGGTCTGCTCTATTCAAAGCACAGAATAATTGCTCTGAGAAAAAATTGTAAATACGTGTCAAATCTGTGTGTTGGAATTAACCAAAAGCTTAACAGTAGTTTAGCAACATAGTGATAATGATACAAGAAAATGGAAACATGGCACAAGATTGGATGCACATATATACAGTCCTCCATCCCTTATTCATCTACTTTCATTCTGACCAACTTGCGCTTTATCCTTTCCTAGTCTTTAATCCTCTGAGTGAGTCCCAGGCATTACCCTCCTGCTTCCTTCTCTCTTCATTCATTTATTCAGCAAATATTTATTGATCATTGCTTATGTGCCAGGCTCCCTGCTAAGCACAAAAGATACAGCCACGCACAAGGCACATAGGTCCATTTGACACTTGCAGTCTCGTTGAGAAGACAAAAATTAAACAAATAATGACATAACCAATACTTACAGCGTGATAAGTCCTACCCAGGAAAAATAGAGAGGGCCACGAAAATGTAAAGCAGATCTGACCTAGACTTGTGGGTTTGGACTGAGAGTCAGCCCTGTGTACAGGTCAGATAGCCAGAGTCATAAGGCCAGTAACTAATTTTGTAAGCCCAAGGGACTAGGGGACATATAAAGCTACAGTAGGGTGACCAATCGGACTAGGGGCTTCCAGGGCCATGGGACTATTAGTGCTAAAATTAGGGAGGTCCTGGGTAAACTGATATGAGTTGATCACCTAGGACTATATTCATCCCAGAAAATTTTTTATACAGTGACAGGCTCTAAGCACCTTTGAAACTGATGAATTTTAAAGAGGCACCTGGTAGTGATACAGAATTTCCCCACCTTGCCATATAAAGGGATTGGTTGTGAAATGTATGAACTGGATCACAGGAGGTGATACCCAAGGGCAGGTCTCTGCCACTGCAGAACATTGTTCAGTGTGGCATTGGAGATTCCTGGCGGCCCCAAGCCCATTCATTCAGACTGCTTCATTTACAGAGGGAGCGGTGATTAAGTGGCTTTACTATGGTCAACATCACTAGTTGACAATAGAAGTGATGCAGGTCTGGTTTCCCTGGAAACAGACTCTGAGATGGAGATTCTATTGCAAATGATTTATTAAGGCTTGTTCTTGGGAGTGAGGGAAGCAGGATTGGGCAGAGAAATTGAACTCTGATGCAGCCTTAGCCTGGCAGCTAAAGGTGGAGGAATCTTCAGAGATGTGCAGATAAAGATGAGGGGGCTGAGCCCCCCAGTCATTGCATGCAGGCTGACTCCTGGGAGAGGCATAACCTTTTGGCTGAGGTCCCTTTTATTCAGCTGAGGCCATGAGTACTTAGTCTTGAAGAGAGGACCTGGGTGGCACACAATCTCACACACTAGGTCTTCCAATTTCAGGTCAATGTTTCCATTTTATCGTGTGTCGACATTTACCAAGAATTGCCCAGAGACATCTTTCAGCTCTTGATTTAACATATAGTTAAATAAATGTCCTGGCTTCAGAAAGATACTGATCAATAATGTAAAATCATAAAGCTGTTAATAATGAATTAATCTGTAGATAAAATGGGATATAATTGCTGTATAATGCTTTCACTGAAAAGACACCGATTATTTCAGGTGGAAGCTGACTTACAATATAAACTATGATATGCCTATGACCAAAGAACCAGACATTTCTAGAATGCCAGCATTTGCCAAGATAAAATGTGAGATGACATTTCTCTGATAGCTTAGAAAGTATTTCATGGACCTCTGAGAAGTTTCAACACAAAGTTAACAGAGTTGTTAAAATATATCTAAAAACATAATTTTCAAATATTTACATTAATCAATTATTTTAAAAAACTGTCAGTGAAGCCAAGATTTCAGACCTTGATTTAATAGACTTTGGGCTTTTCCTCAATATTAACATAGTGTCATATAAAAGCATAACCAAAAGTCTATATTTCATCATATAAAATTAGTACTTCTGGGATTGAGTCAGTTATAAACAAAAAATAGATAATCACATTTTTGCCTCTAAATCTGATATGATGAAATTGCAGAATAACAGCCTTCAACGCAGGCTGCATATTAGAATTGCCAAAGGAACATAAGAAAATGCTCAGGCCCCACTCATTCTAGATATTTTGAGTTAGAATATTGATGTGGGTCCCAGAGTTTGGATTTTAGCCAAGCTCCCAAAATAATTCCCAAACAGCTAGCCAGGCACTAGTCTAGTGTCCTCATTTACTTTTGTGAACTGCTGGCATAGAGTACAGCTTCTTTTCCAGGGCCATGCTTTGTTGTAGTTGCCTTTTTTAAAAAAAAAAAGTGGTAAAATATGCATAACATAAAATTTACTGGCCAGGCATGGTGGCTCATGCCTATAATCCCAGCACTTTGGGAGGCCGAGGCAGCAGGACTGCTTGAGCCCAAGGGCTTGAGACCAGCCTGGACAACATGGCAAAACTCTGTTTCTACAGAAAATTAGCTGGGCATGGTGGTGCACGCCTGTGGTCCCAGCTACTCAGGAGGCTGAGGTATGTGGGTTGCTTAAGCCTGGAGGCTGGAGATCAAGGCTGCAATGAGCCGTGATTGTGCCACTGCACTCCAGTCCGGGTGACAGAGCAAGACCCCATCTCACCCCCCAAAAATCTATATATCTATACCATTTGAACCATTTTTAAGTTTACAGTTCAGTAGCATTAAGTACATTCCGTACATAACTACATTGTTGCATAGCCATCACCACTATCCATCACCAAAACTTTATCGTCTTCCCTAACTGAAAATTTGTACCCATTAAACAATCATTCTCCATTCTCTGCCTCTTCCCAGGATCTAGTAATCACCATTCTATTTTCTTTGTGCATTTGACTTTCCAAGTTTCCTTATATAAGTGGTACTATACAGCATTTGTCCCTCTGGGACTGGCTTATTTCACTTAGCATAACATCCTGAAGTTTCGTCTATGTTGTAGCATGTCTCAGAATTTCCTTCCTTGTTAAGGCTGAATACTATGCCTTCTCATCACATTGTAGATGGACACTTTTCTTGCCTCCACCTTTTGGCTATTGTGAATAATACTGTGACAAACATAGGAATATAAATATCTGTTCAAGTCCCTGCTTTCCTCTCTCCTGGGTACATACCAGAAGTGGAGTTGCTTGATCAGATGGTAATTCCATTTTTAATTTTTAAAGAAATTAACACAGCATTTCTCACAGCAGCTCCACCATTTTATCCACCAACAATGCACAGGGTTCCAATTTCTCCATATCCTCACCTATGATAACCATTTTGTTTTTTAAAAAATAGTAGCCATCCTAAACGATATGAGGTATCTCACTGTGGTTTTGATTTACATTTCCCTAATGATTAGTGATGTTGAACATCCTTTTTGTGCTTGTTGGCCATTTGTATATCTTCTTTGGAGAAATATCCATTCAAACCCTTCACTCATTTTAAAAAGCACGGTTTTTTGTTGTTGTTGAGTTGCAGGGGTTCTTCATTTATTATGGATATCAACTCCTTATCAGATATGTCAGTTGCAGATATTTCCTCTTATTCTGTGGTTTGCCTTTTAACTCTGTTAATCATGTCCTTTGATGCACAGAAGTTTTATATGTACAGTCCAACTTAATCTGGTTTTGTTGTTGTTGCCTGAATTTTTGTCATCATATCCAAGAAATCATTTCCAAAATCAATGACACAAAATTTTCTTCTATGAGTTTTATAACTTTAGCTCTTACATTTAAGTCTTTGATCTAGTTTGAGATAATTTTTACATATGGTCTAAAGTAAGAGTCCAACTTCATTTTTTTTTTAATTTTTGCATGTGAATATCTGGTTTTCCCAGCAGCATTTAGTTGAAAAGACTGTCTTTTCCCCATTGAATGATCTTGGCATCCTTGTTGAAAATCATTTGACTATATATGCAAGGGTTTATTTCTGGGATCTCTTTTCTATTCCATTGGTCTATATGTCTATCTTTATGCTAGTACCACACTGCTTTGCTTACTGTAGTTTTGTAGTAAGTTCTGAAATCAGAAAGTGTGAGATCTCAAACTTTGTTTTTCTTTTTAAAGATTTGTTTTGGTTATTTGTGACCTCTTGAGATTCCATGTATGAAATTGACTTAACAATTGCTTCTTTTAAAAATGATTTTAGATGAAATATATTACATATAAAGAAAAGTACAGGCCAGGCTCACACCTGTAGTCCCAGCACTTTGGGAGGCCAAGGTGGGCAGATTGCTTGAGCTCAGGAGTTTGAGACCAGCCTGGGCAACATGGCGAAACCCCATCTCTACAAAAAAATACAAAAATTTGCCAAGCATCATGGTGCATGCCTGTAGTCCCAGCTACTCAGGAGGCTGAGATGGGAGAATCACTTTTAGCTCGAGAGGTCGAGGCTGCAGTGAACCATGATTGTGCCACTGCACTCTAGCCAAGGCGACAGAGCAAGAACCTATCTCAAAAAAGGGGGGAGAGGGAGACAGACAGAGAGAGAGAGAGAAAGTACATGAAGCGAAAATGAATTATCAGTCAATTGTAACACAGTAAATACCTAGATAACTATGACTTGGTTCAATAAATAGAACATTGCCAGGACACCAGAAGCCCCTTTTGTCTCATCCCAATTTACATTTCTTTACCCGCACCCCCCGCCCAAATTTGACCTTCTAATGCTATAGTTTAGTTTTGCCCATTTCTGAAGTTTATATTAATGGAATTGTACAGTTGTACTCTTTTTATTTCTGGCTTCTTTTGTACATTTGTTTGTGGGAGTCATCTATGTTTTTACATATAGTTGTAGTTTCTTCATTTTCATTCCTGCAAGATTTGATTATTCACAAACAGTCTTACCTTTAATTTTTAAAAGAGCTAGGAGGACTGGGAACCTGTTTTACTTATCTCTGTCAGGAGTCACATATTTAACAATATGCATACTATTTTGTCTTAGTCATTTGCAGACCAGCCAGGATCTGTAGGCTTTACAAATGCATAAAGTTATCTTGGACAACTGGGAAAGATTCAGTAGTGCTCTGTAGAAGGATATCTAGGCAGTAGGCAACAAGGTGGTCTGGTAGTAGGTACTAGGCAGAAGTACTAATATTTACATTTTTCCAGAGACTTTTTGGAGAATGATATAATTTAATGGAAGGGTTATTATAGTGAGAATGTCAGACCCTATGTCAAGCTGGAAATGCAAACATTTAGGGGCAAATGGACCTTCCAGTATCTTTAAAATCACAGCATATAGATAAATGACTGCTAATTTTGCATTTATAAACAACTGGTTCCAAATCTGAACAAGCAACGACTTGCTGGGAGTTAGAGGTACTTCTTACTTTATGAGGCACATTGAATTGAGGCTATGTCGAAGAGTCCATGGTGCTGAAGTAATGCCAGTGAAATGGCATGTGAATAGAATTCTACTTCCCATCCACGGGCCCTGGCCTTTCTCTCAACTAATCTCTCCTCCCTTCCTCCTTTACCCCCGTCCGTAATTGCTTTCACATCTGCTGGAACTATTTTCAGAATTCATTATTCAGGCCAATTCATTTTGACATAACTGGCAGGTTAATCATGTGACTGATTAAATTAATCATGGGTTAGAAATCTGTCATTATGGTACTATATTGGAGCTATCATAACTCAAGTGTCTTTTGAACTAATTTTCCTCCCCCTTTCCTCAGCTTAACATCTAATTTCCTTTTTAAATGAGAGCTCCTTGAAACTGTCTTGCTCACTATTCTGATTTAATTCAATATCTTCATTGCTGACCTAATGAGAGTTGGAATGTTATTTCTTCTATTTTGGAAGGGACACACAAAATGGCTGGAATGTAATTCGGAATTAAATAAGTTTCGACAGGGTGTACCTGTTTTACAGTAAATGCAATTATTGTAATCATCCTTGTGCATATAAACTGTTCAGAGCATGATTGGGTCACACGTATTCAGAGCTCAAAGGAAAGAGTCAGTTATAATTTAGCTAAGGGACTGGCCTGCTATAGAGTATAGTAATTTGGTCACATTGGAGAGCATTTTAGTAGCTATTTATCAGCTACACTCTTTTTGTTGTTGTTGTTGTTGAGACAGGGTCTCACTCTGTTGCCCAGACTGGAGTGCAGTGGCGTGATCTCGGCTCACTGCAACCTCTGCCTCCTGGGTTCAAATGATTCTCCTGCCTCAGTCTCCCAAGTAGTTGGGACTACAGGTGCATGCCACTACCGCCCAGCTAATTCTTGTATTTTTAGTAGAGATGGGATTTCACCATGCTGGTCAGGCTGGTCTCAAACTCCTGACCTCAAATGATCCACCCGCCTTGGCTTCCCAAAGTGCTGGGATTACAGGCATGAGCCACAGTGCCCAGCCGCAGCTACACTCTAATATGAGAATAAAACAAAATGAAAAGGGATGGATATGTAATATATGGTTCTTAAAACTGGGATCTAGGTTTGTTCATGTTTGAATGCCTAGTAAGTGTTTACCATATATATGGCTAAAGGCATTTCCCTTATTAACCTCCCTTTATTTATCTACCATCTGTGTATGTGGTATAATTTAAGAGATACTGAAAGATCCATTTGCCCTCCAATTTTTGCCATTCTAGTTTGATATGAGACTTGAAATCCTCACCATGACAGCCGTTCCTCACCATGATAGCCATCCCATTCAATTAAGTCATCCTGTTGAAGGTCCCCAGGACTAGGCGAATATTAATACTTTTGCCAGGTACCTACTGTCATTCATCTCCATAGTAAAACTGCTCACTTTATTTTTAAAAGACAGTGTCTCACTCTGTCATCCAGGTTGCAACCTCAAACTCCTGGGCTCAAGAAATCCTCCTGCCTCAGCCTCCCAAGTAACTGGAATTAAATGTGAGCCACCACACTTAGCTAATTAAAAACTTTTTTTTTTTTTTTTTTTTTTTTTAGAGATAGGACCTTGCTATGTTGCTCAGGCTGGTCTTGAACTCCTGGCCTCAAGCAATCCTTCTGCCTCAGCCTCCTAAATAGCTGAAATTATGGGCATGACCCACACTCACTATTTTTGATGATATTCTCACTTTACCCATTCCAACCTTCCTTACCTCCTTCCTGAGAATTTCCCTAACTCCTTATATATTTAACCAATTAGTGGCTGTAGGAAAACAGCCTGTTGTATGGCAAGAGTGATGCCATCTTGAAGTGAAACCGCCGTGATGATTGATGTTTGACCCCACATACCAAAGTGTTCTTTAAACAATGCCTGTAGCATGGATAACCCCTCATAAGGATGTTTGCCTAACCTGCCCAGCGGTCACGAATTTCACAAGGAAGTCTGAGGCATAACTAGCTGCACATGTTTTACCCTAAAAGCTTGCTATATAAAGAATACTTTCTGCAGGATGGGTGTGGGGATCCACCATCTTGTGGCCACCAGAGAAATGGCTCCCACTGGTAAGTCCCTATTAAATATTTCTTTCTGAGAAACTAAATTTGTCTGCTTCTTTCTTTGGCCTCTCAGCACCCTTGGCCTTTGGGGGTAGGTTTGCATAGACCTGCTTACCACAGAACAGCAGTTGTCTCTGCCCCTGTCATGGTCCCCACCAATCTTGAAGTAGGATTTACTGAGTCTTTGCATTTCCGCAAATATAGTACATACCTGCTATAATGCAGGTATGTACAACCCCTTATGTGTACAGATAAGGGGTTCTCTGTCTTTCTTCCATCTGCTGGCTGAATCCCATACTGTTACTGGACTTTCTGTCAGCCCTCATGGGCACTGCTTTTCTCTCATGGATCTGTGAGTAATAAAATGCTTTGGTTATTTCATGTGTTTTGGTGTGCCCACTTCCTCTATGTCTCACCTGACCAACACACCTGAACCTAACTCTCCTTATAGTCGGAGCTCTCCTAGAGAGTGGCTCTCTTGGTAAGAATAAACTGGACACAGGTCAGACACAAGCCACAAGGGTATCTGCCAGTGTAAACAAGCTTCCTGTGAGAGGTACACCTGGTCACAGGTTGGAAATGTAGGCATTAGGCCAGGATAGATAAAGAAGTATTCTGTGAAGCATACTGTAAACATCCACAACCACCTCCCTGGAGCCCTGTCAGGGCAGGGCTAGACTTTATAGCTACTCTCCTGGGAAAGATCTTTTTCAGGACCAAATCCCACAAAAAGATCAAATGAGAGGAAAGTACTATTGGTACAGTGAGTAGGGTGTGTGGTCACAACTGTGAGGGACACAGCAACATAGCTTTAGCCTGCTCTTGGCTTACTAACTGGCTCTCCCGTGTGGCTGACACCATGTGGGAAGACCCCCTATTGCTGTGTGCTGCTGCCTGCCGTCTTAGTTGAGTGCTGCCAAAACTCCCCTCCCTATGTTGGATGGGTCCTAGAAAGTCCACGTCCTCCCTGGGAACCATAAATTGCCAACCTTAGTAGGGTAAGAGGGGTGACCATGGTCATTATCACTCCCCAGAATAGGAACTACTGGTCAGACTGAAATGGACTATATTCCAAGGCCTTGGATGTCTCATTATTACTCATTACTTACAGGCAGGAGCAGGTGACATGGCTCGGATGTTTGTCCCCTCAAATCTCATGTTGAAATGTAATCCCCAATGTTGGAAAAGGGGCCTAGTGGGAGGTGTTGAATCACAGGGGTGAATCCCTCATAAATGGCTTAGTGACATTCTCATGATAATGAGTGAGTTCTTGAGATACCTGGTTGTTTAAGAGAGTGTGACACCTCCCCCATCCCCTTGTTCCCTCTCTTGCCACGTGACATGTCTGCTCCTGCTTAGCCTTCTGCCACAATTGTAAGCTCCCTGGGACCTCACCAGAAGCTGAGCAGATGCCAGCGTCATTCTTCTTGTACAGCCCACAAAACTGTGAGTCAATTAAACCTCTTTTCTTTATAAATTACCCAGTCTCAGGTACTTCTTTATAGCAACCCCAAATGGACTAAACAGAAAATTGATACCAAGAGTGGGGTGTTGCTATAAAGATGCCTGAAGATGTGGAAGTGGCTTTGGAACTGGGTAATGGGCAGAGATTGAAGGAGTTTGGAGGGCTCAGAAGAAGATAGGAAGATGATAGAGAGTTTGAAACTTCTTAGAGACTGTGAGATGGTTGTGACCAACATGCTGATAGAAATATCAGCAGTGAAGGCCAGGCTGACAAGGTCTCAGAGGGAAATGTGGAGTTATTGGGAATTGAGTAAAGTCACCTGTGTTATGCCCTAGCAAAGGGCTGGGCTGCATTGTGTCCGTGTCCAAGTGTTACTGGAAAGGGGTCCTGATCCAGATCCCGAGAGGGTTCTTGGGTCTCACACAAGAAAGAATTCAGGGGGCTGGGTGCGGTGGCTCACACCTGTAATCCTAGCACTTTGGGAGGCTGAGGCAGGTGGATCACCTGAGGTCGGAAGTTTGAGCCCAGACTGACCAACGTGGTGAAACCCTGTCTCTACTAAAAATACAAAAATTAGCCCAGTGTAGTGACAGGCACCTGTAGTCCCAGCTACTTGGGAGGCTGAGGCAGGAGAATTGCTTGAACTTGGGAGGCAGAGGTTGCAGTGAGCTGAGATCACACCATTGCACTCCAGCCTGGGTGACAGAGCGAGACTGCATCTCAAAAAAAAAAAAAAAAAAAAAAAGATGTCTTAGTTCTACATCTTAAGGCCCATTGAAATTATCTCATAAAAATCATAGTCTGACAGATATTTTATGACAAAGTATGCTTCACAGTTTTTATCTCTGATCAGACATTAGAAGCCCGTGGGAGGCTGCTTGTCAAAGCCTGTGAATCTCCCTTTTTATTCCCAAGGAAACGCTTAATTCTGAAAAGCACTGTTAAAAATGAGTCTGGCCACTGAATATAAAGTACTATTGTGAATAAATGATATTCTCTACTTCCTGGAGTCCTAAGTAGAGTTCACTTTGGTCTCAAAATTTCTGCTACTGACAAGTCTGATTCCATATAAACTTTTTTCAGTTGCTGTGTGAGCAGCACCATCGTGCATTACAGGAAAAAAAGCTTCTCTGCTCTCTACTTTGTACACCTGCTTGAACTGATGTGGGCTTCAGAATTTGCCATGTTTGGTTGGAACAGTAGCTTACTAGAGGATTTGGGCCTCTGGATAAATCAATGAAAGCACCAAAACCAATAGTAATAAGACCACCATTTAGTAGAATGGTGTATATCTGCGCCTGAAAGGAATTTTTGTTTTGGGTGGAAGTTTAAGTTTGAACAGGCCCCATATCTGATAAGCAGCGGCCTGGCCTGCAGGATAATCTATAGTGAATGAGTTCCAGGACAAGAGTGCCCTACTGCTGGCCTCCAGCCCTTAGAGGATGGGGGTGAGATTGAAAATTTGTAAAGATAAGGCCAGGAGCAGTGGCTCACGCCTGTGATCCCACCACTTTGAGAGGCTGAGGCAGGCAGATCGCCTGAGGTCAGGAGTTTGAGACCAGCCTGGCCAACATGGCGAAACCCCATTTCTACTAAAAATACAAAAATTAGTTAGACATGGTGGCACGTGCCTGTAATCTCAGCTACTCAGGAGGCTGAGGCAGGAGAATCACTTGAACCCAGGAGGTGGAGGCTGCAGTGAGTTGAGAACACACCACTGCACTCCAGCCTGGGTGACAGAGCAAGTCTCCATCTCAACAAAAAAAAAAGAAAAAAAGAAAATTTATAAAGATAAGCTAAGATCTAGGGAAAATTGGAAATTTATTTGGGGGTTTATTTGTTGAACTGGAATTTGAAAGGAGTTGTTTGAGGTCATTATGTCTTTCAGTTAAACTGGTTATCAGACACCTATCAGGGACATGAAAGTTCTAGTGAATTTCTTTTTCAAGAGCCCAGCAGTGTGTATTTTAAAGAGTGAAGTGTGTGTCTTGGTATTATCAGTAATGTCTGTAACTCGAAGGGGAATAAGGAGTGTTCTGGCCTGTGCTTGTAGTGTGGCCTTAGTGTATGTGGAGACCTATATGATTTTGATTTATATTTTGGGTGTGTGCAAGGCAAGAAATTCTGAGAGTTTGTTTTTTTTTTTTGTTTTTTTTTTTTACTTTATAGGGGACAATTTTTAGGTTATGGCCCAATAATTTATAATAAGTGTGAAGATAGGGCCATTTGTTGACCTGGGTGTCCAGTGCTAAGAGGCCTGCCAGAAGTTTGGCCAAGTGTGTTGTTTCTGGGTCCTGTCCTTTATTAGGGACATCTTGGCTAAGGGATGAAGGCAGCAACATCCCACCAAGCTCCATCACATATGAAGGTTGGCAGCGCCATCTGCGTAGCCTACAAACTCCCATTACTTGTCACCCAGGTAATCCCAAAGGGCTTTCTATGTAGTCAAGGAGTCTGAGGATGGGGTGACCTCCTCTAGCAACCTGGCATCTTGCAAGAGACTGAGAACAGGGGAAGCCACTGCCTCCTGCAAGTGGAATATGCCAGAGGCTCCAGGTTTGGATCTATCTGGTCTTACAGAGGCCTTGGTAGCCATGCTGTGTTTGTGGGTGCTGTTTCATGACCCAAAGCAAAACAGGCAGCTGAATATGGAGGGTCACAGGCTCAGGTTCTGTGAGAGCCTCTATTTCTAGGACATCCCAGCAGGTAGTTAGGCATTTGTTATTCTCATGGTGTATAGAATGAGGCTGAAAATGGCAGTCTTTTTGCATCCGAAACCCTGGGGCAGCTAATGGCCATCATAAGTGGTCCAGAGATTCTAGGAGGCCTAAGAAGAGATTGCCTAAGCCTATACAATGAAGGAGTCATTTGAAGGCACTAGCAGGAGTGCCTGTTGATTATAATTTGTAAGTATAATTTGCAAATGCAGTGTCTGTTGCCCCCAGGACCTACAAAGGGATAAAAGACTTATATGTCCTTATTGAGTGTGGCAAATTAATCTCCTTGAAAGAGGATGTTATCAATGTAACGTTTTACTTGTGCTCCTGGAGAAAGGTGGATGTCATCAAGATCTTATCTGAAACGATTGCATGTGACAAAAAAGCTGCTAGGGTACCCCATGGATAGCCTGAAAAGGCATATTGTGTCCCTTTGGAGGTAGAGGAAAACTGTAGCTGAGAGATTGTTTAAATAAGCACTGAACAGAACATCTTAGCCAATCTATAACAGAAAACTACTTACCAGTTGTTGATTGGATAGAATCAGTAATCTTAATAATATTGGATATTGGGTCTAGGGCCTTGATGCATGAGAGCACAGCATTAAGTTTACAGCAATCCATCACGAACTCTCCCACCACCTTTTTAAAGGTTTAAGAACAAAGTAAAATTGAGCTGTTGTATTAGTCTGTTTTCACACTGCTATAAAGAACTCCCTAAGACAGGTAATTTATAAAGGAAAGAGTTTTAATTGACTCACAGTTCTGCATGGCTGAGGAGGCCTCAGGAAACTTAGAATGATGGTGGAAGGCAAAGGAGAAGAAAGTGCCCTTTTCACAAGGCAGCAGGAGACAGAAAGAGCACAGGGGAAACTGCCACTTTTAAACCATCAGATATGATGAGAACTCCCTCCCTCTCACTAGAACAGCATGGGAGAAACTGTCCCCATGATCCAATCACTCATCAGGTCCCTCCCTTGACGTGTGGGGATTACAATTTGAGATAAGATTTGGGTGGGAACACAGAGCCAAATCATATTATTCTGTCCCTGGCCCCTCCCAAATCTCATGTCCTCTTCACATTTCAAAAATCATGCCTTCCCAACAGTCCCCCAAAGTCTTAACTCATTCCACCATTAGCCCAAAATTCTAAATCCAGCATCTGAGACAAGGCAAGCCCCTTCCACCAATGAGCCTATAAAACAAAAAACAAGTTAGGTACTTCCAAGATACAATGGGGATACAGGCATTGGGTAACTGTTCCCGTTCCAAATTGGAGAAATCAGCCAAAACAAAGGGTTCCACAGCTCTATGCAAGTCCAAAAGCCAGTGGGGCAGTCATGAAATCTTAAGCTGTGAAATGATCTCACATCCAGGACATGCTGATGCAAGAGGTGGGCTTCCACAGCTCTGCCCCTGTGGCTCTGCAGGGTACAGCCCCTGTGGCTGTTTTCATGGGCTCATGTTGAGTGCCTGTGGCTTTTTAGGTGCATGGTGCAAGCTGTCAATGGATCTACCATTCTGGGGTCTGGAGGACAGTGGCCCTCTTCTCACAGTTCCACTAAGCAGTGCCCAGTGGGGACTCTGTGTGGGGGCTTCAACCCCACATTTCCCTCTGCATTGCCCTAGTAGGCATTCCCCATGAGGGTTCTGCCCCTGCAGCAGACTTCTGCATGGA
Organism: Homo sapiens; assembly: GCF_000001405.40. Taxonomy (NCBI): domain Eukaryota; kingdom Metazoa; phylum Chordata; class Mammalia; order Primates; family Hominidae; genus Homo; species Homo sapiens. The sequence continues at coordinate 462,960 of NW_015495299.1, forward strand.
CATCCAGGCAGTTCCATACATCCTCTAAAATCTAGGTGGAGGCTCCCAAAGCTCAACTTTTGTCTTCTGTGCACCCACATGCACAGTGCCACATGGAAGCTGCCAAGGCTTGGAGCTTGCACCCTCTGACGCAATGGCTCAGTCAATGGCAAATGGCTTGGCCCTTTTTAGCCACGGTTGAAGCTAGAGTGGCTGTGATATAGGGCACCAACTCTTGGGGATGCACAGAGCAGTGGTGCCCTGGGCCTGGCCCACAAAACCATTTTTTCCTCCTACACCTCTGGGCCTGCCTGTAACTGGGGAGGCTGCTGCAAAGATCTCTGACATGCCCTGCAGACATTTTCCCCGTTATCTTGGCTATTAACATTTGGTTCCTTTTTACTTATGCAAATTTCTGCAGCCAGCTTGAATTTCTCCCTAGAAAATGGGTTTTTCTTTTCTACCTCATCATCAGGCTGCAAATTTTCCTAAGTTTTATACTCTGCTTTCCTTTTAAATAAAAGTTCCAGTTTTAGATAATCTGTTTGTGAATGCATATGACTGAATGCTTTCAGAAACAGCCAGGACACTTCGTGAACACTTTGCTGCTTAGAAATTTCTTCCCCAGATACCCTAAATCATCTCTCTCAAGTTCAAAGTCCCACAGATCTCTAGGGCAGGGGTAAAATGCTGCCAGTCTCTTTGCTAAAGGATAGCATGAGTGACCTTTACTCCAGTTCCCATTAAGTTCCTCATTTCCATCTGAGACCACCTCAGCCTGGACTTCATTGTCCATATCACTATCAGCAGTTTGGTCAAAATCATTCAACAAGTCTCTAGGAAGTTCCAAACTTTCCCATATCTTCCTGCCTTCTTTCTGTTCTTTTTTAATACATAAGGGATTTTTTTTCTTCAACTTTTATTTTAAGTTGCAGGATACGTGTGCAGGATGTGCAGAATTGTTACATAGGTAGATGTGTGCCATGGTGGTTTGCTGTACACATCATCCCATCACCCAGGTATTAAGCCCAGTGTCCATGATCTATTCTTCCTGATGCTTTCCCTCCCACTACCCCTCCATTTTCTTCTGAGTCCTCCAAACTGTCTCAACCTCTGCCTGTTACCCAGTTCCAAAGTCATTTCCACATTTTCAGGTTATCTTTATAGCAGTGCCCCTCTCCCGGTACCAATTCTCTGTATTAGTCTGTTTTCACACACTATAAAGAACTGCCTGAGACTGGGTAATTTATAAAGGCAGGAGGTTTAATCGACTCACAGTTTTGCATGGCTGGGAGGCCTCAGGAAACTTAAAATCATGGTGGAAGGTGAAGGAGAAGGAAGTACCCTCTTCACAAGACAGCAAGAGAGAGAGCGTACAGGGGAAACTGCCACTTTTAAACCATCGGATCTAGTGAGAACTCCCTCACTATCAAAGAACAGCATGGCGGAAACCTCCCCACAATTCAATCACTTCCCACCAGGCCCCTCCCTCGATACGTGGGGATTACAATTCAAGAGGAGATTTGGGTAGGGACACAGAGCCAAACCATATCAGTTCTCAAATGTAGAAGTAATGGGGACCCTTTATTAACTGGATTTTCTCTATATATATATACATAATACATTTTAATTCTTGAAGGCCCAGTTTTAACTTGTTGGGCCATATTAACTATTTTAACTGGGGGTTCACAGTGTCACATTTTATCAAGGCAGTTTGTAACCACTATAAACTTATTTTAATTTTAATTTATCAGAGTATATATGCCCAATATAAACAGCAATGGATACTCTGACTATGGGAAATTTAGGCAAGGCTATAGTTAAAGTGAGACATACCCATTTTTTTCTTTATATTATATTTAGTTACCTTCTCAAGATCATAGGGAAGCACAGTGTTTAAATTTCATGTGATTCCCATGAATGACTATAATTTGAGCCCAGTGTTGATTAAATCCATGAAGTTTTGTCAACTGGTGTATTGTAACAAATGCTAAAGTTAAGTTAAAACCTGTGTTGTAGAAGCACAAAAGCCAACCAGACCTTTTAAAATCTTTTTGTTATATAAATTCTTTAGTATATAAGTTTTGGATTTCTAATTGGGTCAAAATATGGAACTTTGTTTACATTTAGTTATATATTATGATAGATAGATAGATAGATAGATAGATAGATAGATAGATGATAGATATGAGGTATCTATTTATTATATTCCCTCCCTCCCTTCCTCCCTTCTTCCTTTCCTCTTTTCCTCTCTCCCATCCCTTCCTTCTTCCCTTCCTTGTAGTGCCTGAGCCTCCAATTGTTTTCCCTCATTGCCAGTGAAGTGCCTTCCTGATACTTGACACTTTAAAAGTTTGGTTGAAAACCTTACTTCTTAATGTAATAAAAACTAGAACTGGGCTGGGCGGCTTATGCTTGTAATCCCAGGGAATCAGAAGGCTGATATGGGAGGCTTGCTTGAGCCTAGGAATTGGAAGCTGCAGCAAGCTATGATCATGCCACTGCACTTCAGCCTGGGTGATAGAATGAGACCCCATCTCTTAAAATACACACACACACGCACAGGCTGTAACTATTTCTTCTAGTATGTGATCACTTTGGTAGTAGTATAAATGCAATACTATAGATATATTATGGGGGTAAATAGATTTATGCAGGCTTGCTGGGGCTAACCACTATTTTTGAACAAAAGTGTGATTTTGTCGGTTAAAAAAACTGGAGTTGGTAGTAGAGGAAAGCCAGTTATAATCTGCGGAAAATCAGCTGATGAAATTACTTCTGTTCTTGAAGGTGCTGGACACTCTGTAGCTTTTGGTTTATCCTTAAATGAGACTTACTGTATGAAGCATGTGGAGCAGATTCTGCAGTAGCAGGGACAAGGCAAGAATGAGGGAGCTGGTTGTAAAAATAGTAATTTCCAATTTTTGTGGAAGTATCACATATGAAGGAACCAACTTAGACAGATACATAGAGATGAAGAAGAAGTGCATTAAAATTTATTGTGATGAAATATTATTCCATGTTTCCCTTATAGACAGATTTAATTTTTTAATCTCTAAGCAAATTTCCATGGAAGTGAAGGATAAACCAAACAAATTAGGTAAAACTACATGAAATAAGCATTTTTCTTCCTCTTCATCTTTCTTTTTCTTCCCTTCCCCTTCCTCCTCCTCTCGCCATCCTCCTCTTCTTTTTCTTCTTGGATGATTTTATCCCATTTAGTTGAGTAAATTGCTGCTGCAGTTGACAATTAGAGTTAATATAGCCAAGAGTCAGGGTTTAGGTCAATACTCTTTGTGTATTTAGGTTTATAAGGCAAGCTTAAGAACTTTAAAATAGAGATTTAAGTTCTAGTTAGTTGTAAATGGACAATTTAAAGTGATTTATAAAGATTACCTTTCTTACTCAAGGAAAAGGTAACTCTAACACTATAGCTATTTTTAGGCTCTAAAATGGTCTTGAGGGAAATTTATTCTGAGGCTGTAGGACTATCAAAAAGACGTTAAAGCTCTCTAGGATGTGAGAGAAGCAGCATGACAATTCCAAGTAGGAAAGTGAGCATGGCTTATTTTTGCAATAAGAAATGAAGTAAGGAAAGCATTTTGTTTTTTAAAAAAGAAAGCTTGAATGTAAAAAATATCTGAGCCTTTCTGTGCTTCTTTCTACTTTAATATGACATGACATATTTATGACCTTTCTGCATCATGTGTCTTTATGTGAACAGAAAACATCCTCAAGGATCCTCAGATGCTGCAGTAACCTTCAAGCAAACACAGCAGACAATATGTGATGTCTTAACTGTGGAATAGATACGTGGCAATTTAAAGGCCTTTCTTCTTTGCTGGTTGTCTGGTGACTAAGCCTACTTAAAGAAGCCTTACTTCCAGTTTTGTTTTTGTTTTTTTGTTTTGTTTTGTTTTGTTTTTTGAGATGGAGTCTTGCTTTGTTGCCCAGGCTAGAGTGCTGTGGTGTGATCTCTGCTCACTGCAACCTCTGCCTCCTGGGTTCAAGTGATTCTCCTGCCTCAGCCTCTCAAGTAGCTGGGATTACAGGTGCCCACCACCACACCTGGGGCTAATTTTTGTATTTTTAGTAGTGATGAGGTTTCACCATGTTGGCCAGGCTGGTCTCAAACTTCTGACCTCAAGTGATCTGCCCGCCTTAGCCTCCCAATGTGCTGGGATTACAGGCGTGAGCCACTGCGCCCAGCACCTTCCCTCTAGTTCTTACCAGGCCCTCACCATCTGTACCTGGACTACCATAACCCCCCACCATCTAATTAGGCCCAGACATGAAGTCAGACATAACCTTTTAAAAATCTGATCATGTCATTTTTTTGGTTTTAAAATCACCCACATCCAGTCTCATATGTTTCTGGTAAAGGTCTAAATGTACACATGTCTTTCAGAGAAAAGTGTTTGCCAATATTTATCAAGAATTTAGAAAACAAAGCCAGGCCCAGTGACACGTGACTATAGTCCCAGGTACTTGGGAGGCTGGGGCCAGAGGATCACTTGTGGCTAGGAATTGGAGCCCAGCCTGAGCAACATGATGAGATCCCATCTCAAAAACAAAACAAAACAAACCCCTACTGGTCAAAAGGTATATATATTTGTGAGACAGAATCTTACTATGTTGCTCAAGCTGGTCTCAAGCTGCTGGGCACAAGGGATCCTCTTGACTCAGCCTCCCAAACAGCTGGGATTACAGGCACATGCTACAGCACCAGTTTAGTTGTTCTACTTTTATTTGTTTATTTATTTTTATTTAAACTGATTTTATTTATTTATTTATTTGTTTTTTGAGATAGGATCTTGCTTGTTGCTCAGGCTGGAGTGCAGTAGCACAATCTTGGCTCACTTTAACCTCCATCTCCAGGGTTCAAGGGATTCTCATGCCTCAGCCACCTGAGTAGCTGGGAATACAGGAGCACGCCATCACACCCGGCTAATTTTTTAAAAAAATTATTTTTAGTAGAGATGGGGTTTCACCATATTGCCCAGGCTGGTTTCGATTTCCTGGCCTCGTGTGATCTGCCTTTGTCTGCCTCCCAAAGTGCTGAGATTACAGGCGTGAGCCACTGAGCCTGGCCTAGCAGTTCTACTTTTAAGCATCCATCCTCAGCAAGTAGCTGTAAGGAAAGTGCTGTATATGAGAGACGTTTATTGCAGCCTTATTTAAGATAATGAAAAATTGGAGGGAAACCTAATGTACACATAGAGAAATAGTTAAGTAGTCATTGTATATCTATTCAATGAAATATTCTGTAGCTACTAAAAATACTATTTTATAGCATGGGAAAGTGTTTACGCTATAATGCTAAGTAAATATATTAAAATATAAAACTGTGTTAAAATTCAAAATCACAACATACAGAAGAAGAGTTGAAGCCTTCATTTTTCTCCTCTCATCTCCATCACTTTACCCTCAGGCGAGGTAGAGAAGTAGCCTAGATGGGAGGATAATACATCCTCATATTGCCTTCTACTACTGACAAAAGCTAGTCTTTGAAATGCCCTAAGAAAATGATTTACTGTAACAGGAAAGAAAGAAGTGCTTTCAATGCTTTGATATTTCTTTAACTTTTTTTTTTTTTGACAGTCTTGCTCTGTCTCGCAGGCTGGAGTGCAGTGGAGCAATCTCAGCTCCCTGCAACCTCTGCCTCTCAGGTTCAAGTGATTCTTCTGCCTCAGCCTCCCGAGTAGCTGGTATTACAGGCGCCTGCCACAACACCAACTAGTTTTTGTATTTTTAGTAGAGACAGGCTTTCACTATGTTTGCTAGGCTGGTCTTGAACTCCTGACCTCAAGTGATCCGCCTGTTTCAGCCTCCCAAAGTGCTGGGATTACAGGCGTGAGCCACTGTGTCTGGCCTAAAAATTATTATTTTTTAATCAACATGTAATAATTGTACATATTTATGGGGACAGTGTAATATTTTGATACACATTGTGTATCATATTGATATATACAATATGTTATGATCAATTCAGGGTAATTAACATATCCGTCACCTCAAACAGTTATCATTTATTTGTATTGGAAACCATTAAAAATCCTCTTCTAGCTGTTTAAAAATATACAATAAATTGTTGTTAACTATATTCACCCTACAGTGTTATAGACTACTAGAACTTATTCCTCCTATCTAGCTGTAATATGGTATCCATTAACCAACCTCTTTTATCCTTCCTCCCTCTCTTCTTCCTAGCCTCTAGTAACCACTATTCTACTCTATACTTACACGAGAACAACTTTTTTTTTTTTTTTTTTTTTTTTTTTTTTTTTTATTGATCATTCTTGGGTGTTTCTCGCAGAGGGGGATTTGGCAGGGTCATAGGACAATAGTGGAGGGAAGGTCAGCAGATAAACAAGTGAACAAAGGTCTCTGGTTTTCCTAGGCAGAGTGTGTGTGTCCCTGGGTACTTGAGATTAGGGAATGGTGATGACTCTTAATGAGCATGCTGCCTTCAAGCATCTGTTTAACAAAGCACATCTTGCACCGCCCTTAATCCATTTAACCCTGAGTGGACACAGCACATGTTTCAGAGAGCACAGGGTTGGGGGTAAGGTCATAGATCAACAGGATCCCAAGGCAGAAGAATTTTTCTTAGTACAGAACAAAATGAAAAGTCTCCCATGTCTACTTCTTTCTACACAGACACGGCAACCATCCGATTTCTCAATCTTTTCCCCACCTTTCCCCCTTTTCTATTCCACAAAACCGCCATTGTCATCATGGCCCGTTCTCAATGAGCTGTTGGGTACACCTCCCAGACGGGGTGGTGGCCGGGCAGAGGGGCTCCTCACTTCCCAGTAGGGGCGGCCGGGCAGAGGCGCCCCTCACCTCCCGGACGGGGCGGCTGGCCGGGCAGGGGGCTGACCCCCCACCTCCCTCCCGGACGGGGCGTCTCGCCGGGTGGGGGGCTGACCCCCCCACCTCCCTCCCGGACGGGGCGGCTGGCCAGGCGGGGGGCTGACCCCCCCCACCTCCCTCCCGGACGGGGCGGCTGGCCGGGCGGGGGGCTGACTCCCCCACCTCCCTCCCGGACGGGGCGGCTGGCCGGGCAGAGGGGCTCCTCACTTCCCAGTAGGGGCGGCGGGGCAGAGGTGCCCGTCACCTCCCGGACGGGGTGGCTGGCTGGGTGGGGGGCTGACCCCCCACCTCCCTCCCGGACGGGGCGGCTGGCCGGGCCGGGGGCTGACTCCCCCACCTCCCTCCAGGACGGGGCGGCTGGCCGGGCCGGGGGCTGACCCCCCCACCTCCCTCCCGGACGGGGCGGCTGGCCGGGCAGAGGGGCTCCTCACTTCCCAGTAGGGGCGGCCGGGCAGAGGCGCCCCTCACCTCCTGGACGGGGCGGCTGGCCGGGCAGGGGGCTGACCCCCCACCTCCCTCCCGGACGGGGCGTCTCGCCGGGCGGGGGGCTGACCCCCCCACCTCCCTCCCGGACGGGGCGGCTGGCCGGGCAGAGGGGCTCCTCACTTCCCAGTAGGGGCGGCGGGGCAGAGGTGCCCCTCACCTCCCGGACGGGGTGGCTGGCTGGGTGGGGGGCTGACCCCCCACCTCCCTCCCGGACGGGGCGGCTGGCCGGGCCGGGGGCTGACTCCCCCACCTCCCTCCCGGACGGGGCGGCCGGCCGGGCTGAGGGGCTCCTCACTTCCCAGTAGGGGCGGCGGGGCAGAGGCGCCCCTCACCTCCCGGACGGGGTGGCTGCCGGGCAGAGACGCTCCTCAGTTCCCAGACAGGGTGGCAGCCGGGCGGAGGGGCTCCTCACTTCTCAGATGGGGTGGTTGCCAGGCCGAGGGTCTCCTCACTTCTCAGACGGGCGGCCGGGCAGAGACGCTCCTCACCTCCCAGATGGGGCGGCGGGGCAGAGGTGCTCCCCACATCTCAGACGATGGGCGGCAGGGCAGAGACGCTCCTCACTTCCTAGGTGGGATGGCGGCCGGGCAGAGACGCTCCTCACTTTCCAGACTGGGCAGCCAGGCAGAGGGGCTCCTCACATCCCAGACGATGGGCGGCCAGACAGAGACGCACCTCACTTCCCAGACGGGGTGGCGGCCGGGCAGAGGCTGCAATCTCGGCACTTTGGGGGGCCAAGGCAGGCGGCTGGGAGGTGGAGGTTGTAGCCGAGATCACGCCACTGCACTCCAGCCTGGGCACCATTGAGCACTGAGTTAACGAGACTCCGTCTGCAATCCCGGCACCTCGGGAGGCCGAGGCTGGCGGATCACCCGTGGTTAGGAGCTGGAGACCAGCCCGGCCAACACAGTGAAACCCCGTCTCCACCAAAAAAATACGAAAACCCGTCAGGCGTGGCGGCGCGCGCCTGCAATGGCAGGCACTTGGCAGGCTGAGGCAGGAGAATCAGGCAGGGAGGTTGCAGTGAGCCGAGATGGCAGCAGGACAGTTCAGAGGGAGACTGGGAGAGGGAGAGGGAGAGGGAGCTAATTTTTGTATTTTTAGTAGTGACAGGATTTTGCCATGTTGGTCAGGCTGGTCTCGAACTCCTGACCTCAAGTGATCCACCTGCCTTGGCCTCTCAAAGTGCTGGGATTACAGGCGTGAACTACCGCACCCGGCCTCTCATGGGGAATTTAAAAGGTTCAGTGGCTTTCCCAAAGTCACAAAGCTTGGTGACTTTGGTGACCATGGTGAAGCATGGACTTGGGAACCTGGGCAGTGTGGCTCCGGAATCCATTTCACTGCCAAGCCATATAACCACTTCTCAGCTGTCACGAGCACAACTTTTTAAGGTCCTACATATGGGTGAGAACAACTTTTTTAGCTCTTGTATATGAGTGAAGACATGTGGTATTTGTCTGTCTATGCGTGATTTATTTCCCTTAACAGAATGTCCTCCCAGATCATTCGTGTTGCTACAAATGATAGGCTTTTATTCTTTTTTATGGCTGAATAGTATTCCATTGTGTATATATACCATTTTTTTATCCATTTATCTGTTGATGGACACAGGTTGATTCCACATCTTGTCTATTGTAAATGTTGCAGTAAACATGGGGGTGCATAGATCCCTTCAATATACTGATTTCGTTTTCTTTGGATAAATACCCAATAGTGGGATTGCTGGATCCTATGGTAGTTCTATTTTTAGCTTTTTAAGGAATCTCCATACTGTTTTCTGTAATGACTCTCATAATTTAGGTTCCCACTAGTAGTGTAAAAAGTCTCCCAATCAAGAAAAGCCTAGGACCAGGTGACTTCACGCTGACTTCTACCAAATCTTTAAAGAAGAACTAACACCAATTTTTCTCAAAGTATTCCAAAAAATTGAAAAGGAGGGAATTATTCTAAACCCCCTGATCTATGAGACCAGCATTACCCTGATACCAAAACCAGACATGGACATGACAAAAAAAGAAAACAACTGGCCAATATCCCTGATGAACATAGATGTAAAAAATCCTCAACAAAATGCCAGCAAATGCAATCCAACAGCACATCAACAAGATAATACGTGAGGATAAGTGGGATTTATCCCAGGGATGCAAGGATGGTTCAATATATGCAAATCAATAAACATGATACCTCACATAAACAGAATTAAGGACAAAATCCACATGAGCATCTCAATAGACACAGCAAAAGCATTAGATAAAATTCAGCATCACTTCATGATAAAAGTCCTCAACAAACTGGGCATAGAAGGAACATACCTAAACATAATAAAGTCCATATATGACAAACCTATAGCTAACATCATACTGAATGGGGAAAAACTGAAGTCTTTTTCTTTAGGAAATGGAACAAGACAAGAATACCCAATTTCACCACTCTCATTCAACACACTACTGGAAATCCTAGCTGGAGCAAGAGAAAGAAACAAAGGACATCCAAATGGGAAAAGAGAAAGTCAAATTGTCCCCACTACAAAAATTTTACCTAGGAATAAGTTTAACCAAGGATGCAAAAGATCTCTACAATGAAAACTACAAAACACTGATGAAAGATATTGAAAAAGCCACACAAAAAATGGAAATACATCCTATGTTCATGGACTAGAAGTGTTAATATTTTTGAAATGACCATACTACCAAAAGCAATCTACAGATTCAACACAGTCCCTATCAAAATACTGATGACATTTTTCATAGAAATAGAAAAAACAATTCTCAAATTTGTGTGGAACCACAAAAGACCCCAAGTAGCCAAAGAAACCCTGAGTAAAAAGAACAAAGATGGAGGCATCACACTATCTAACATCAAAATCTATAATACTACAAAGCTATAGTAACCATAACAGCATAGTATTGGTAGAAAAACATACACATAGACCAGTGGAACAGAATAAAGAACTCTGAAATAAATCCACATATTTACAGCCAACCAGTTTTTGACAAAGGTGCTGATAATATACACTGGGGAAAGGATAGCCTCTTCAATAAATGGAGTTGGGAAAATTGGATATCCATATGCAGAAGAATAAAACTAGACCTCTATCTCTCATCATATAGAAAAACTACCTCAAAATGGATGAAAGATTTAAAGGTAGGACCTCAAACTATAAAACTACTAGAAGAAAACAAAAGGGAAATCCTTCAGGACATTGGACTGGGTAGATTTTATGAATGTTTTGCTATTTCTTTGTGGCACCCAAAGCATGGCCATTGAGGCATGTGGCTGTGATGCTTTAAAAAGATGCATAAACGGGACAATTAAACACTAACAGGCCTCTAGGAAGGATTTCTAAGCAGGAGTTTAAGTAATAGCTGTGGGGTGGCCAGGCTGAAGTTACTGGAATAATAAAGTAAAAGATCATCTTCAATATATATGGGAGCTATGTTAACGCACACTGAGGAAAATGTTTCTCTACATCCATGATATGTGCTTTATCTGTGAATTTCTCTCTCTTTCTCTATCTCTTTCTCTCCCTCTCTCTCTCTCTCTGTGCATGCGCGCGTGTGTGTGTGTGTGTGCATTTGATTCAGTGGTTACCTGCTGAACTGTCAGGAAGAAAAACAGAAGTATATCTTTATCTCACAATGGTAGAGAGATCCCTTTCCATTGTTTATGGAATGTTATTCTAGACTCAGAAACTCATATTTTGGGAAACATCCTACTAAGGGCGTGTCCTATGGATTGATAAGGACTGAAGAGGGCAGGAGGCAGGGGTCTGGGTGAACATTTTTTGGGTGGTGGTGGTGATTTTTCCTTAGACGATTGAAGCAATCACTTTTGGTGCCTGATTGGCAGTTTTCATTTTGCTCTGCAGTCTCCTTTCATTGCCTCCAATCTCCCAGTAAAGCCTGCTATTCTCTTCCAGCCTTGTGGGACACTGTTGTGAGGAGACTAAGAGGTGAGTTAGTAAAGGCACTGTAGGGCCTTTCCTACCTCACCCTTCTACCAGATCAGTGGCACAAATGGCAGCATTGCCCTGGGAAGGACAGTAGGCCTGAGTTCCAGGCACTGACAAGAAGAAGAAAGAGCTATGGCAAGAACAGAGCAGGGAGTGGGGGAGAAGGACACCATAGGGAGACGGGGAGCAGGACACTATAGGGAGAGGGGGCTGCCAAATGGATGACTCCAAAGTGCACTGAGACCAGGGGCTTCCTTTCCAAATAGATTAAACAGAGATTTGACCTCAGGTTGTTCATTAGAACAATCTGGAGCTCTTAAATGCAGCTAATGCCTGGGACCAGCCTTGTAACAATTGAATCTGAATGTCTGTGGATGGGGTCTGGGCATCAATGTTTTCTATTTATTTATTTATTTATTTATTTATTTATTTATTTATTTATTTATTTTTGAGATGGAGTCTCGCTCTGTTGCCCAGGCTGGAGTGCAATGGCGTGATCTTGGCTCACTGCAACCTCTGCCTCCCGGATTCAAGCGATTCTCCTGCCTCAGCTTCCTGAGTAGCTGGGATTACAGGCGCCTGTCACCATCCCTGGCTAATTTTTGTATTTTTAGTACAGACAGGGTTTCACCATGCTGGCCAGGCTGGTCTTGAACTCCCAACCTCAGGTGATCCACCCACCTTGGCCTCCCAAAGTGCTGGGATTACAGGCGTGAGCTACCATGCCTGGCTGGCATCAATGTTTTCTAAAGCTTCCCAGGTGACTCTAATGTGCAGCCAGGTTGAAACCACCACACTAGAGGAAGATGATCATGAGTGGGAGAAGCTAACCTTATAAATGCATCATATAAATCTCAACAGCAACATTGCAAAAAATTTACACATATTAAAAAGTCTAGAAGGAAATATGGTTGATTCTCATGATGATAGTTATGTTCCATAAAGTCTGTGAACACTGAATTAGTGAATACTGAGTCATTGTTTCTATATGAGTCATGCGTGTTTCTATATATCTCACATAGATATACACACACACATATATCACATATCTCACATAGATTATAATCTTAAATCCTAAAAACAAGTCATCTTGGTAGATTTTATTTTCTTTATTTTACAAAGAAAAAAAATGAGGTTCAAAAGTGTTAAGAGACTTGCCTAAGGCTGTTGCAATAAATGTCAGCATGGGCTGCCCCTGTCCTACTGGCCCCAGAGCTAGAGCTTCTTGAACTACTCTGCCCCACCCCACTACCTTCTGCATCCTCTGATCACATCTATATGGGAGCTGAAACAAGAAGGCAGAGCAGGACCTTCTTTGATATCAGTTAGGAGCATCCGCAGGTTGGGGAGATGACTCAAACTTTTCATTGCTGTCTGCATGTCCATGAATGACCACAAATTTTGATTTTTGGGTTACAAATAAATTTTAGGGGTAGGCAGAATTTGCAAATATAGAATCTGCATTTGCAGATCCTCTGCATGGTGAGGATCAATTCTATTTCATAATACTGGCAGTAATTGTATTTGGATAGAATTAAGTGACTTTTTCTTCCCTATTTCTCTATTGTCCTAAAAATGTCTTAAATGAGCATGTATTACTTTTATTTAAAAATGTAAAAAAACAAAAAATCTTTTCCATGGCTATCTCTGTCTATAGCCTAATTTCTTCTCAAAGTGTAGGCTTGACATAGTTACATCGGAATTACTTGAAGAGTTAGTAGAAAAGGTAGATTCCTGGCCCCTTCCTTCCAAAACTACTAAAATAGAACTCAAAGGGACCTGAGAAACTGCATTTAACAAACTTCCCCAGATTATTTTTGTGCATACTAAAGTTTTAAAAACGTTTGCTATAATGGTCTCCAAAGAGTGAGGATGAAATAAGGGTGTTTTAGATGAAGTAGCTGAAATAATTTACCAATTACAGGCCATTGCTGAAAGAACTATTAAAGGATATACTTCAATACAAGAAAGAGATTAAACCTAGAAAGAAGGATTGGGATGCATGAAGTAATGATGAGTAAAACATTTGGTAAGCATGGGGTGAATCTGAATAATTGTTTTTTAGCAAAAACAAAACAAAACAATTTAAAAAATGAATAAAAGGGGAGGGAAATAAAATGAGGTAAAATTAAAATAAAAGACAACAATATATAAACCAAAAAATAAAATTCTAAGCTCCCCATCCAACTAAATGGACCCCTCCTCTCAGCCAGGGAGGTTTTGAAAGAAACATAAAGAAACAAAAAACAAAACAAAAAACACAATTTCAGGTCATAATGGTAAGAGTGTTCTGGACAGGCCTCATCACAACTCTCCTCCCTCTGGAATTCAGGCACAACTGATCAGCATTAACATTAAAACAGAGATCTTAAGACAAAATAGATTATTTGTAGCAATAAGATATCAAATTCCAACCTGACTCTAGTAAAGCATCACATGACAGGGAGCAGGCCCTGAAAGTATCTAAGTATTTTACATCAAAATATATTTCTTTTTTTTTTTTTGAGACGGAGTCTTGCTCTGTCACCCAGGCTGGAGTGCAGTGGAATATATTTCTTTGAAGTATTTTGAAATGGCCCTGCAAAGCTGCCTGTTGTGGGGGAAATTTATATTCTGTAAAGAATCCTCTTCCCTTTTCAGGTCTTTTTCTGAGCCAGAAGAGATTTAACCAAGAATCTGGCATCTTTTAAGGTCTGATGAGAGACATTTACTATCTATTCTCTCTGAAGCCTTCTACTTGCAGGCTTCCTCTACATTACCAAGAACCTTGGTCTCTACAACCCCTTATCTTAACCCAGACACTCCTATCTATCGAATCTGGGTCTTCAGATAATAACTCTTTCCACCAATTGCCAATCAGAAAATCTTTGAATCCACCAATGACCTGTAAGCCCCACTGCTTCTAATTGTCCCACCTTTGCAGACCAAACCTATGTGTACTTTACACTTATTGGTTGATGTCTTAGGTCTCCCTAAAACACGTAAAACCAAGCACTGTAACTTAACCACAATGGGGACATGTTCTTAGGACCTCTTGGGCCATGGTCACTTATATTTTGCTAAGAATAAACTTCTTTAGATATTTTACAGAGTTTGATTCTTTTCACTGACAATAGATAACATGGAAAAAGTGGACATATGATTTGTGTTAAAGCATTCTGACGTCTTTGTAGTTTGAGAGAAGTAAGGAGATACTAATGAAACTTTTCAGAGGGAAACCTATGCATAACCTAAGGGTGATTCATCTGAGAATAAATATATAAAGTATAATTTTGAAGTCAGTAGGAAACAAATGGATTTAAACACTATATTATCCATAAAAGAAAGTAAAAAAAGAAGTCACAAAGAAGCAAAGACTGGAGAAAACGTATTTCAAGCTAAGGGAATTGTGGGCAGTGTAATAGAAGGGAGGAAAATGCTCCATTGTTGAGTCTAAGATTTATCTTTAATCTACTTACACCCTATTTACGGAGTTTGTTATGGTTTCATGGATGTTGGCAGAAGATATGAGACTCCTGGGTAAGTTACAAAGGGCTATATTATCTATATCATGGCAAGCAACATGCGCATTGTCAGAGAGAGAAAAATTTTCCTCTATCCTCTTAATTTCTTTAAATGAGGGCCTGCAAGTTAATCTGACAAAAGACAGATTAACAGGAGGAAAAAGGGTTTTATTTGTATGCATATGGGAATTAACCAAAAAAGTAGCTAGCTTCATTAAGTGGTTAAAGTTAGAGGTGCATATACCTAACTTAAAGAAAAGGAGGGAGGAGAAAGGGCTTCCATGGTAAAAACAGATTGGTTTCTGGGCAACAAATTGGGAGATAAGAAAGCTGGTGATAAAGTTTGTTTATGTGGGTGCTAGTGGTCTTTTCCATCTTCTCCATGGCCATATAACTCCTGTGGAAAGAGTACTTATGGTAGATTTGCTCTTGGCCTTTTTTTCTGGTGGTAAGACCCACCCCGAAGAGGGAGTTTATGGTAGCCTCATTTCCTAGAAGTTGCTGCTTTTAGTCAGATAAGGGACATTCCAACAAGGCTTTCTGCATCTATTGAATCTCTAATGTTTTCAACTTAAAATAATCTTTATACCAACTCCAGGGTTCTGAGTGGGGCCCCACATCCTTGCTCTTTGTCCCAGAGGGAGACATTGCCTCATCCCTGAAGGCTGCTTGCTTCAGACATAGCCCTGAGAAATGGCCCTGGTAAAGATTAGTCAAGGCCTTGAATTCTTGGTACACCCAGCAAAACATGTAGGAGCACAAGAGACACACATAACTAAGAACCCGTGAGTAAATTGGTTTCCTGGGCCATATGCTGCCTTGGGTTGGGGAAGAGAAAAAGGAGTGGAAAAGGAGGTGAGAGAAGTAGGGTAATTGAAAGCCCTGTTGCTGAAGGCCTTGTATGGGTGACATGCTACGGCATTTGATCTTTACCCTGTATATCAATCTCCAGCACAAATTTGAATTGCTGCATTCCTAACAACAAACGCTTTTTGTCATTTAATGCCAACATATGTATGTTTATTTATAAATCATATACCTACACCACTACATTAATCTATCATGTACACTTTAAAACATACATAAAAGTATATTTAAGAAAGGTAAGTTAAAATGCATAAATATATATTAAATATTAGGTGTAATATTTTCTTGGTGATTATAACCTAATTTGGGGACCATTGCAGTTTAGCATAGATAATCTTTGGAAATGTATTCATGACATCACAATTTATTTTCTATGACCCACTTACCAGTAATTGGGGTTTCTTACCAAAAATTGCTACAGTGAACACCCTAGAGCAGCTATTCTTGTTTAACTATGTCCATAGAAGACATTTTTTTGTTATAGAAATGTTCAGTCAAATGGTATGTGCTTTTTACATTTTGGTAAATAATCTTAAATGGCCCTACAAAAAAGCTGCACTAATTTACTTTCCAAATTATAGTCTATAAAGACCCCTTTTTCCACTCTCTCCAAGACTAGGTATCAATCTTAAAAATTTTGTCCAAACCAATAGGTAAGAAATAATACCATGTCAGGCCAGGTGCCGTGGCTCCTGCCTGTAATCCCAGCACTTTGGAAGGCGAGGTGTGTGGATTATTTGAGGTCAGGAGTTTGAGACCAGCTTGGCCAACATGGTGAAACCCCATCTCTACTAAAAATACAAAAATTAGCCAGCTGTGGTGGTGCATACCTGTAATCCCAGCTACTCGGGAGGATGAGAAAGGAGAATCGATTAAACCCGGGAGGTGGAGGTTGCAGTTAGCGGAGATCACACCACTGCACTCCAGCCTGGGTGACAGAGTGAAACTCCGTCTCAAAATAAAAAGTAAAAAATTTAAACCACCTTCCCGCCCTTTCTTTCTTTCTTTCTCTTTCTTTCTTTCTCTTTCTTTCTTTCTTTCTTTCTTTCTTTCTTTCTTTCTTTCTTTCTTTCTTCTTTCTTTCTTTTTCTTTCTTTCTTTCTTCTTTCTGCCTTTCTTTCTTTCTCCCTCTCTTTCTTTTCCTTCCTCCCTCCCTTCCTCCCTTCCTCCCATTCTCTCTTTTTCTCTCTCTTTCCCTCTTCTCTTTCTTTCCCTCCTTTCCCTCCCTCCCTTCCTTCCTTCCTCCCTTTCTTTTTCTTTCTCTTCCTTTCTTCTCTTTCTTTCTCTCTTTCTTTCTTCTTTCTTTCCCTCCCTTCCTTCCCTCCCTCCCTCCCTCCCTCCCTTCCTTCCTTCCATCCTTTTTGAGACAGGGTCTTGCTGTGTTGCCCAGGGTGGCTTACTGCAGCCTCAACCTCCTGAGCCCGAGTGATCCTCCCATCTCAGTCTCCCAAGTAGCTTGGACCACAGGTGCACACTGCTGTGCCAGGCTAATTTTTAAGTATTTTGTAGAGATGGAGACTCACTAAGTCGCCCAGGCTGGTCTCGAACTCCTGGACTCTAGTGATTCTCCTGCCTTGGCCTTCCAAAGTGCTGGAATTGCAGGTGTAAGCCATCATGCCCAGCCTGGTATTTCTTCAACTATGATTAAGTTCAAACGTTTTTCATTGGCTTTAAGCCTCTAAATTGCCTGTTTTCCCTCCTATGTCACTTTTTTTTTTTTTTTGAGATGGAGTCTCGCTCTGTCACCCAGGCTGGAGTGAAATGGGTTCAAGCGATTCTCCCGTGTCAGCCTCCTGAGTAGCTGGGATTACAGGCGTGCATCACTATGCTGGGCTAATTTTTATATTTTTAGTAGAGACAGGGGTTTCACCATGTTAGCCAGGCTGGTCTCAAACTCCTGACCTCAGGTGATCCACCCCCCTTGGCCTCCCAAAGTGCTAGGGTTACAGGTGTGAGCCACTGTGCCTGGCCAACATTTTTTTTAATGTAATCAAATGTATCAGTGACTTTTCTGTAGGTACTTATGTCTGGAGTGGCATGAGGTGGATGTCTCAGCATCCATAGCCTTGAATGACAGATTAGGAGTCAGTGTGGACAAAGTAACAAAGTAGACTTTATTGTTTGTGGTGTGGGGATGGGGCAAAACAAAGACCAGCAACAGGGAGGCAAGGTAGGAAGCTCTTAGGATAGCCAGGTAGTTAGATCACATGGTGAATATGAGTATGGGCTCTGAAGTCAGACTCTGGGGTGCAAATCCCAAGAGTAATATTTATAGAGTGACTTTGGGAAGTGGGGCAGGTGACTGACCTTCCTGTGCCTCAGTTTCTTCATGTAGAAATTATTAGTATTTCATTGAAAGCTTAAATGAGATAAGATATCATGGTGCCTGGCATGCAGCGATTGCTTTCTAGAAAAATAAAGGGAACTTGAGCTAGGTTGTAGGAGAAATGGAAAGGAATAGACACACTGAAAGATAGAGTCCTTAGGACTGGGAGACTACTCGAATGTAGATAAGGGAGACTGAGATGAGTGAACAGCACCTTTCTGTGATTAAAATCAGGACCATATTAATGAAAGCAACAACCAAACACAGTGACCCTGTGGTACAGAGGTTCAACAAAGAGATCCTGGAACCAGACAGCTTGTCCAAATTCCATCTGTACACACCCTTACTAGCTTTCTAACATTGGACAAATCAATGTCTTGATTTTGTTTTTTGGGGGTGGCAGGGGGGTGGTGTGGACAGAGTCTCACTGTGTCATCCAGGCTGGAGTGCAGTGGCAGGATCTTGGCTCACTGCAAGCTCTGCCTCCAGGGTCCAAGTGATCCTTGTGCCTCAGCCTCCCAAGTAACTGGGATTACACGTGTGGGCCACCACGTCCAATTAATTTTTATATTTAGTAGAGACAGGGTTTTGCCATGCCGGCCAGGCTTGTCTAGAACTCCTGACCTCAAGCGATCCACCTGCCTCAGCCTCCCAAAGTGCTGTGATTACAGGCATGAGCTGCCGCGCCCGGCCGTAATCAATAAATGTCTCTCTACCTTGGCTTCTTCACCTGAAAGTGACGAATAATTATGTCTATCTCATATGAAAAAACGAAAAGTGAAGAAATACATGCAAAGCACCCAGACCACTATCTGGCATAGAGTAGGTACTTTAAAATATTAGCTGTTATTTGGGTACGGACCTGTAGTCTCAGCTACTCGGGAGGCTGAGGCAGGAGGAATGCTTGAGCCTAAGAGTTCAAGGTTGTAGTGCGCTATGATTATGTCTGTGAATAGCCATTGCATTCTAGCCTGGACCGCATAGGGGGACCCCATCTCTGTAAAAAAAATTAGCTGTTATTATTAATCTTTTTTTTTGTGCTATAACAGGTCCTTTTTTACTCTCATCTTATTTTAGTTTTCTGAGATCCTTGTTTCTTTCAGTATGCATCCACCTATTGCCAAAATGCTATTCTTGTTTTCACTGGGTCCTAAATTTGGGGGCTTTCTTAAGCCTGCCCTTCTATATTCTAGATCTTTCTTATTCTCTGCTAAGCTAATAATATTCTATGTTATTAATAGGCATTGATAGCTTCAATTTATCCCTCCCAGATGACATTTGCATTTTAACAAGAATTTTCAAGGCCTTGACTCAAAGGAGTGAGTAATGTGGTTATTTTAGGTATCCTGGCAGAGGGAAATAGTCCTTGGGCTGGGAGAGCTTTCCTAAACTCTAAATTTATATCACACCAGCAGCTGCCTACTCTGCTCACTCAGAATATAATGTGAGGGCTGTATTGGTGGTCAGGGAATAAATTAAATCAATTAACTAATATTTTTATCACCAGGAACTGTATTAGGTAGTGTGGGGAAGAAAATGAAGATTAATAATCTTTGTTTCAAGAAATACACAATCTTAGTTGAAGAAATCAAGAGGTATAAACATTTTTTAAAAATCTATTCTCATGGCCAAGGTCAAGACAGACCTGAGAAGGTAGCCTACTGGTCAGTATACTGGTGTGAGGTCCAGGGGGCCAGATCAAACCAGGGGGAAGATTACCTAGAAAGCTGTTCATAAGATTACATCACCACAGAGCTGAAGCAAGAGCAACTGCTTAGAAATGGAGCAGGCTCTGCAGTCAGAGCACACTGAAGAGGGAGATCCTGCACTGTTACGCATCAGATGCAGGGGCTGCATGAAGAATTAACAGAAACTGAGAGCCTGGTGCAGGGCAGGTGAAAGGCAGGGGGAATCCATGTAACCTGGAGGAGGATTTCTTTCAAATGAATTCTAATATGTCTTGCTTAGGTGGGGATGGGCTTCTTAAAGGAATCAAATTGGGATGAACAAATCACAAGATCTGTTTCCTCATTTGTGAAATGAGGAAGGATGAAATACATCAGCACTAAAGTGAAACTAAGGGCTAAGCTGATTAAGCCCAGCAACACTAACCTGCTTTGCTTGCTTTTAATCACTTACTTCTAGTTGATCTTAAAACTCCCACTAGCTTCCTTACAGATAACATCTCTGACTGTGGGTCATTATAGTAACGGGTGTTTAACGTTGTTTTTCAGGAACTATGGGGCAGCTCTTGTTCAGTTGAAGCTGGTTGAGACCACTGACCCTTCAGCTGGGCCTGTGCAGGTGCCTATAGAGTGACATTTTGATGTCAGAGGGCCAAAACTTTCACCTCAGATCAATATAATGCCACCATTTTCTGCACATGTATCCTGTGAAAAGCATGTAGCTCAATTACATTTGCACAGAAACCCCAATTACCTCACCTTTACTACCTGTCAATCACCTTTACCCATACATTGGACTACCCAGATTTCTATCCCATAAGAACCCTCAAGCCCTATTTTTGGGGAAGTAGATTTGAGACCTCTTTTCCTGCCTCCTTGCTTAGCTGCCTTGTAAATAAACTCTTTCTCTTTTGCAAAACTCTTCTTCTCAGTGATTGACTTGCTGTGCATGGGCAGAACAAACCTGGCTGATAACCAAGTTTCTCCCAGCTCTAGGGACCTATAAGTCAGTCATCCTAAAACCAGACAAGAAGGCAGTAATGAATAGCATTTAAATAAGCCATATAGACCCATGGTTTATGATTTGGTTTCCCAAACCATAGTCCACCAGGATTCTTTCATGCACCTGCTGTGAAATCTTTTAATGTTCTTACACTGTCACTTGAATCTGTTAAGAAAATTAGATATTTTAGTTTTCCAAAACATAAGTTGTCTATTTTACAATTTCTTGCAAGGCAGGAGGAAGGAAAAAAAACAAATTTAGCCCAGTGCAATGATTTAAATCATCTTTTGGGTCTTTGGTCTTTCAGTTTTTACCCTTCTTCTCCTCCCCTATGATCATCTAAATGGATGCAGAAAGAGCATTTGACAAAATATGTCTCTTCGTGTATTTGCTTATATAACCTTGTAGCATCGAGAGGAGGGGAGTCCTTGGTTCATACAGTGCCTTCTGGCTCCTTACTGTACCTCGTTCATGCCAGGCCTGAAAGCATTCAAAGCTAAAGCTATTGCCTAGTGTGATTTGACATTGTGTAAACTCCTTGAGATTTGGTTATGACTTCCATTTACCCCGGCCCAAGAACCCTCCTCCCCATACAGCTTCTTCCCTGACTAGCACTTTCTCTTGTAACCACCAGCCAAGCCTTCAACTATAACTGAATCTCATCCAGGTCACATTTCCCAAACTATGCTCACCACTTGATTTACTTTGAGGAGCTTGTGTCCCTGATGGATGGTGGGCAATTGACCAGGTGGTGGCATTCCAGATGTTCAGCATGAAGCAGAACAAAAGCTTCCTTCTTGCTCACGAAGGTCCCCAACCTATCTGTGTTTCTATGTTTCCCTAGCTTCTTCATCCATTCAATGAATATACACTGAGAACCTACCATGTGCTAGGCTCTCTGCTAGGTGATGGTGACATAATGGTGAACAAGACAGATAGTGTCCTTGCCCTCATGGAGTGTATAGCATAATGGGGGAAACACATGATAAAGAGGTCAGCAAACAAGTTCATGCGTACAAATTTTTAAGTGCTTTGGAATATACAAATAGGATTCTGTGGTTGAAAATAATAAAGGAGACCTATTTTAGAAGTGGTTTGGTGAAGGTTTTTCTGAGAAGACACTTGATTTGAGAAGGAGGAGAGGCAGCCAACTACGTGAAGAGGTGAAGAGTAATTCAGACTTAAAGACAAGCAAGTGCAAAGGTCCTAGATGGGAAAAAGTCTCCAGATGGATTGGAAAAGGATCGATAGATGTAAGATTTTCCTCCCATTCTCATAAGCAAATGACATAATCTTCAGGTATGACTAAGACTACTACATAGTCATGCTGAGTATTAAATAAGACCCAGGCTGGGGTCAAGCAAGTGAGGCACTCATCCTGAATCCAAAATATAAGGGAGCACGAAAAAACTCATTACTCAAAAGAAATCGTACTTTAATGCAGTATTTTAAAAATAAAAATGAATGCAAACATCCAATGACAAACAAAGCATCAAATTTTAAAATAAAAATAGGATCAGTATCACTGACTTTTCTTTTTGTCACAGGCTCCAGTATGGCTTAGCATAGTACTGATATTAAGGATTACTATCATCTGTGGATGAAGATAATTTGACTTCTTGCTTTCCAATTTAGATGCTTTTTATTTCTTTTTCTTGCTTAATTACTATGGCTAGAACTTCCAGTACTAGATGTATTCCTCCTGTCTAACTGAAACATTATATCCTTTGACCAACACCTCCCTTTCCTCTGGCACCCCTCCCCTCAGCCTCTGGCAACCACCATTCTACTCTCTGCTCCTATGAGTTAAACTCTTTTAGATTCCACATATAAGTGAGATCATGGAGTATTTGTCTATGCTTGGCTTATTTCACTTAGCCTAAGCCAGGTTCATCTATATTGTAGCAAATGACAAGATTTCCTTCTCTTTTAAAGTCTGAATAGTATTCTATCATATATGCACACACATATACATACATACACACATATATGTACACACATATATGTACATATGCATACATACACATGTGTACATATACATATATACACATGTACATATACATATATGTACGTATACATATATATGTGCGCATATACGTATATACACATATATGCAC
Organism: Homo sapiens; assembly: GCF_000001405.40. Classification (NCBI taxonomy): domain Eukaryota; kingdom Metazoa; phylum Chordata; class Mammalia; order Primates; family Hominidae; genus Homo; species Homo sapiens. The sequence continues at coordinate 485,757 of NW_015495299.1, forward strand.
ATATACATATATACATATATGTACATATACATGTATACGTATACATGTACATGTACATATACATGTATACGTATACATGTACATGTACATATACATGTATACGTATACATGTACATGTACATATACATGTATACGTATATATGTACATGTACATATACATATATAGGCATACACACACACAAACACACACATACCCAACATATTTTCGTGACCCATTCATCTGTTGACAAACAACAGTTGTTTCTATATTTTGGCTATTGTAAAGAATAAATGCTGCAATGAAGATGGCAGTGCAGATAACTGTATGAGATGAGGCTTTTGTTTGCCTTGGATGTATTATATTTCCCTAACTTGGATTGACGAACCATATGGTAATTCTATTTTTAATTTCTTCTTTTTTTTTGAGACAGAGTCTCACTCTGTTGCCCAGGTTGGAGTGCAGTGGTGACATCTCAGCTCACTGCAACTTCCGCCTCCCAGGTTCAAGTGATTCTCTTGGCTCAGCCTCCTGAGTAGCTGGGATTACAGGCGCCTGCCACCATGCCTGGCTAATTTTTGTATTTTTAGTAGAGATGGGGTTTCACCATGTTGCCCAGGCTGGCCTCAAACTCCTGACCTCAAGAAACCTGCCCTCCTCATCTTCCCAAAGTGCTGGGATTACAGGCCACTGGGCCTGGCTTCTATTTTTTATTTTTTTGAGAAAACTCCATTCTGTTTTCCATAATGGCTATACTAATTTACATTCCCATTAACAGTGTACAAGGGTTCCTTTCCCTCCACATCCTCACCAACACTTGTTATCTTTTGTCTTTTTGATCATAGCCATTCTAACAGGTGTGAGACGATATCTCATTGTGATTTTAATTTGCATTTCCCTCATGACTTATGATGTTAAGCATTTTCTTCAAATACATTTGGCAATTTTTATGTCTTATTTTGAGAAATGTCTATTAAGGTCCTTTGCCCATTTCAAAATTGGGTTTTATTTATTTATTTGCTGTTGAGTTGTTTGAGTTCCTTATATATTTCGGATATTAACCCCTTATCAAATGTATGGCTTGCAAATACTTTCTCTCATTCTGTAGGTTGTCCCTTCATCTACTGATTGTATTCCTTGCTGTGTAGAAGACTTTAAGTGAAAATGTAACCCCATTTGTCTATTTTTTTCTTTTGTTGCTTCTTTTGTTGCCTGTCATTTTGGGGTCATATCCAAAAAAAAATCATTGCTCAGACCAATTTCAAGAAGCTTTCCCCCTATGTTTTCTTTTAGTAGTTTTACAGTTTCAGGTATTAAGTTTAAGTCCTTAATCCATTTTGACTTGATTCTTGTATAAGGTATGAGATATGGGTCCAGTTTCACTCTTCTGCATGCAGATATACAATTTTCCAACACCATTTATTCAAGAGCCTGTTCTTCCCCCATTGTGTGTTCCTAGCATCCTTGTTGAAGATCTGTTGACCATAAATGTATGGATTTATTTCTGGGCTCTCTCTTCTGTTCTGTTGGTTTTTATTTCTGTTTTTTGCACCAGTACAATGTTGTTTTGATTACTGTAGCTATGTAGTATATTTCAAAATTACGTAGTGTGATGCCTGGAGTTTTGTTCTTGCTCGAGATTGATTTGGCTATTCAGGGTTTTTTTTGTGGTTCCATACAAATTTTTGAATTGTTTTATCTATTTTTGCAAAAAATGTCATTGGAATTTTAATAGGGATTGCATTAAATCTATAGGTTGCTCTGGGTAGCATGGACTTTTTAAGAATATTAATTCTTCCAATGCATGAACATGAGATATCTTTCCATTTATTTTTGTCTTCAATTTATTTCATCAATGTTCAACTCTGTCAATTTTTACTTCATATGTTTTGGTGGTCTTAGTTATGTAGCTGTTTATAATTGTTATCTTTTGCTGTATCGAACCTTTTATTATAATATCCTTCTTTGTCTCTTGTAAACTTTTTTTTATTTAAAGTCTATTTTGTATGTTATTAGCATAACCTCCATTGCCCTCCTCTGGTTACTATTTTCATGGAATATTATTTTCTATCCTTCCATTTTCAACCTGTTTGTGTCTTTGGATCTAAAATGAGTATCTTGTAGATAGCACATAGTTGGATCTTTTTTTAAGTGCATTCTTTCAATCTGTCTTTGGAGAGTATAATCCATTTACATTTAAAGTAATTACTGACGAGAAGGGTCTGACATCTATCAATTAGCTATTTGTTTTCCATTTGTCTTATACATTTTTGTTCCTCATATCTTCTTTTGTGTTTAGTTGACTGTTTGTAGTGAAGTGTTTAAATTTCTTTCTCTTTTTATTTTGTGTATATTCTATAGCTATTTCCTTTTGGTTATCAAGGGTTACATTTAACATCTTCAAGGCATATCACTCAAATTTGAATATTCCAGTTTAACCCCAATAACATACAAAATTTTTGCTCCTTTATATCTGTATCCTTATTCTTTTTGTTGTTGATGTCACAAAATTATATCTTTATACATTGTATTATAAAAACACTTATAATACATCGTATTATAAAAACACTTATAATACATCGTATTATAAAAACACTTATAATACATCGTATTATAAAAACACTTATAATACATCGTATTATAAAAACACTTATAATACATCGTATTATAAAAACACTTATAATACATCGTATTATAAAAACACTTATAATACATCGTATTATAAAAACACTTATAATACATCGTATTATAAAAACACTTATAATACATCGTATTATAAAAACACTTATAATACATCGTATTATAAAAACACTTATAATACATCGTATTATAAAAACACTTATAATACATCGTATTATAAAAACACTTATAATACATCGTATTATAAAAACACTTATAATACATCGTATTATAAAAACACTTATAATACATCGTATTATAAAAACACTTATAATACATCGTATTATAAAAACACTTATAATACATCGTATTATAAAAACACTTATAATACATCGTATTATAAAAACACTTATAATACATCGTATTATAAAAACACTTATAATACATCGTATTATAAAAACACTTATAATACATCGTATTATAAAAACACTTATAATACATCGTATTATAAAAACACTTATAATACATCGTATTATAAAAACACTTATAATACATCGTATTATAAAAACACTTATAATACATCGTATTATAAAAACACTTATAATACATCGTATTATAAAAACACTTATAATACATCGTATTATAAAAACACTTATAATACATCGTATTATAAAAACACTTATAATACATCGTATTATAAAAACACTTATAATACATCGTATTATAAAAACACATAATACATCGTATTATATAAACAATTATAATACAATTATAATGCATTGTAATATAAAAAACAAATACTTTAAAAAATGCATGTCTTAAATTATGTAGAAAACAAAATGTGGAGTTTCAAACCAAAGTTACAATAATTACAGGTTTTAGATTAATAATTGCTTTTAAAATGTATTAATCTCTTAAGTCATACAGAAAACAAAAAGTGGAATTACAAGCCATTGTTACAATAATACTAGCTTCTATAATGCTCACGTACTTACCTCAACTAAGACCTTTATTTCTTCATATGACTTCAAGTTACCATCTAGTGTCCCTTCATTTCATCCTGCAGGACTCCCTGGAGCATTTCTTGTAGGGCAGCTCTAGTGGTAATAAACTCCTTCTGTTTTTGTTTATCTGAAATGTCTTAATTTCTTCCTCACTTTTGAAGGACAGTTTTGCCAGATACAAGATTCTTGGTTGACAGGTTTTTTTCTTTCAGCACTTAAAATATATCATCCCACTTCTGCTGGCCTCCAGACTTTCTCATGAGAAATCTGCTGAAAATCTTATTGAGGATTCCTTGTGTATAACAAGTTGCTTCTCTCTTGCTGCTTTCTGTCTTTTTTTGGTTTTCAACAGTTTGATTGTAATGTGTCTCAATATGGGTCTCTTTGAGTTAATCCTACTTGGAGTTAGTTTACCTTCTTGAATGTTTATATTTATGTCTTTCATTACTTTTGAGAAGTTCTTGGCCATTATTTTTCAAATAGCCTCTCTTCTCCTTCTCTCTGTTCTCCTTCTGTGACCCATGCAATGCATATATTGGTTAGCTTGATTATATCACACAGGTCCATTAGGCTCTGTTAATTTTTCCTCACTCTTATTTCTTTGTGTTACTCAAGTCAGTACTTTCCATTATCCTATCTTCAAGTTTGTTGAGTTTGTTGATCCTTTCTTCTGTCTGCTCAAATACTCAAATCTGCATTTGAATCTTTCTAGTGAATGTTTCATTTCAGTTATTGTACTCTTCAGTTCCAGAATTTCTTTGCAGTTTGTGTTTAGGTTTTCTATCACATTGTTGATATTTCCATTTTGTTTATATACCATTTTCTTGACTTTCTCCATGTCTTCCTTTACTTCTTTGAGCATCTTTAAGACAGTTGTTTTAAAGCCTTTGTCTAGTAGATCTGCCATCAGGTGTTTTCTAAGAACAGTTTCTGTCAGTTTAGTTTTTTCTTTTGAATGAGCCATGCATTCCTGTTTCTTTATATGCCTTGTGATTTTTTGTGGAAATCTGACATTTTAATCTAATGGTATGTTAACTCTAGAAATCAGATTCTCTCCCTTCCTCAAAGTTTGCTGGTTTTTTTTTTATTTTGTTTTTGTTTGTTGTTTGTTGAACACTATCTCTGTGCCAAGGATCAGACTGAAGCATGAACTTAAGGGTATTCTTAGGCCCTTTCTGAGCCTGGGCTTTCCCTGAGCTTGTACAGTGATGTTCTAATGTCCCTCATACATCCAGCTGCTTTTGAATGTGCTAGTCTTCAGTGCCTGGCTCCTAAAAAAAGGAAAAAAAGAAAAATAAAGTGGTGGTGGTGTTGTTAAAATGGCAGCCCCTTAAGTGCCCTGGAAGTCACTTCAGTCATGGGAGACAGGATTGCAATAATGCGGGGGGGAGGTGCAAAAACAATGGCCACCTGCCACTTTCTCTGCATCTCTGTGATCAGAAGCAGCAATCAGCAATTAGAGCACAGACTCATGATATTTGGAAGACATGATCCTTTTTGCTCATCCTGGCTTCTGCAGTTTACATGCAGGCTCTCCAGGACATGTACACAGCTGTCTGCTGTGGGACTACATGGTGGGGGATGGGTAGCTGTTGCTGTTATAAGAGCTGAAATTGACCAAAATTAACCTCAATTTACCATCCGTGCCTTTTCCTAGAAGTTACAAGCCTTTAATAGATGCCAGAGTTCAAAAAATCTTATATCAGACAGATTTTGCCAGTGCAATTGTTACTAGTTGAGGAGACAGATTTATGGTGCTTCCTACTATGCTGTCTTCCCAGAATCTTCTCTCCTCTTAAGAATTACTACAAATTTGGCTGGGTGCGGTGGCTCACGCCTGTAATCCCAGCACTTTGGGAGGCTGAGGTGGGTGGATTATGAGGTCAGGAGATCGAGACCATCCTGGCTAACACAGTGAAACCCTGTCTCTACTAAAAAATACAAAAAAAATTAGCCAGGCGTGCCAGCAGCCGCCTGTAGTCCCAGCTACTTGGGAGGGTGAGGCAGGAGAATGGTGTGAACCAGGGAGGTGGAGCTTGCGGTGAGCAGAGATTGCACCACTGCACTCCAGCCTGGGCGGCAGAATGAGACTCCGTCTCAAAAAAAAAAAATTATTCAAATTTATAAAAGCAGAGCAAACATGGTGGCACGTGCCTGTAATTCTCATTAGGCTGAGGTGGAAGGGTTGCTTGAGCCCAGAAGTTCAAGACTAGCCCAGGCAACATAGTGAAACTGTTTCAAACAAAACAAAACGAAAAAACCAAATTAATAAAAGCAAGTCGAGCATGGTGGCTCACATCTGTAATCCCAGCATTCTGGGAGACCAAGGCAGGTGGATCATTTGAGGTCAGGAGTTTGAGACCAGCCTGGCCAACATGGTGAAACCCCGTCTCTGCTAAAAATAGAAAAATTGGCTGGGCATCACGACGCATGCCTATAATTCCAGCTAGTCAGGAGCCTGAGGCAGGAGAATCGCTTAAGCCCAGGAGGCAGAGGTTGCAGTGAGCTGAGATCTCAGTATTGCACTCCAGCCTGGGTGACAGAGGGAAACTGTTCCCCCCACCAAAAAAAAAAAAAAAAAAAAAAAAGAACAACTCAAAAAACCCCAAAAGTCATAAAAGCAGATTACAATGTTCTTTTTTAACTTTATTTTTTTATTTTGGGCCTTACTATGTTGCCCAGACTTGTCTTGAACTTCTGGCCTCAAGTGATTCTCCTGCCTTGGATTCCCAAGGTGTTGGGATTACAGCATAAGCCATCACACCCAACTATCAGTGTTCACTTGAATTGGTAATGGCTTTTATTGTTATGCTCGTATTCATTCATATAATAATATTTATTAACGTATGAAAAAATCATCATTAGGTTTTTCATTTGTTCGATTTTTTTCTTGTATCGTTGTAATCTTGATTATTCTTCTCAAATTCTGTTTTCTGCTGAAAATTAGAATGAGTGGGATAGATGGATTGCTGTAAAAATGTTTGATAAGTGCCAATATAGCCCATAAATCAATGGCTGGATTGATATGGAAAAGCTTTATGGGGATATAGGGTAGAAAAATCATATAGAGGTTTAAGCTGCTATTTGAGTCTCCCACCACTTGGGAGAAGGCTAATCTGGCAAGAACTGTGGTTCCTGGGACTAGAGATGGAATAGGGACTCCGAACCCAATTCAGTGGTAAGTTTGAAATCAGAGAAGTGCGTGAAGTTGAAAACAGTTGTACAGTAGTACTGAGATTGAAGGAGTTGTAAGGCAGGCTCTAGGGGCAGCTGAAGGGAGCTGGAGGCAGCAAGGACAGCCAGTTTTGAAACAGGAGTCATAGCTTCTGTGGTCTCACATTCTTTGGGTAGCAGTCAGAAGCTTTGGCTAGGCTGGATGCTGTGAGTATATTAAGACTAGAACCAGACAGTATCACTCGTTTCTTATTGCAATCAGACTAGCTGACAGAAGGGCAGGTAGACTTCCTTGTGTGTTCTTTGCTAACCTCACAATCTGACAGTCGGCATGCTGTCAGCTCTCCATTATCTGGACTGCTGAACCACCGCCACTGAGCAATCATAAATCTTGAAATATCCCCATAGAGTAAGACTTTGGATATCCTGGTCAACCTCTGGAGAAGCAAGACTCAAGACAGGCCACTCCCTTGATCCTGGGTGTCCATATGCAACTGTATTTAGCATAGAAAGTCTTGGAGTTTGCTAGTTTTCTCCTGGAAACACAGCTGCAGTCTCTCCACTCTTAATTTTGAATGTTGTGCTTAGAGCAGAACCACCTGTCTCTGTATCTGTATTTTCTTTCCAAAGAGCTGAGTGATTGCCTAGAACAGCTGTGGGTATTTGTGTTTTATTTTTATAAGCCCTAAGCAACTGAGTGAAAAGCAAAGCCGATTATGTCATTGAGTCCTTTAATATGTATGAACAGGAAAGCAGAAAACTGAGTTAGCCATAGCAAATACAAGGTTTACATAGAAGAAGAAACACTGAATTTTGCTGGGGAATCAATGAACAAAGAGGCAAAATGTTTGCATTTTGGGGGAAAGACTTATTTTATGTTCATTCAGATAAATGATCTTTACACGACGTCTTTTTAAATACTGCAAACACTGAATTTATATCCACAAGATGTAAGAGAAGCATAGTGGAGAACATGCTACATATAAGTCTGGCAAAGACAGTCAGGTTTTTGTGTGCACCAACCCCTACACATTTGTTAGTTCTTCCTTGCTCTGTTTAAAATAACTTCCTCTTTGTCTTTGAATTGTATAGCGTTTAAATGCCACCGGAAGTTAAGCCTCCACTCTGAAAACTTATTTGTGCTATCAAAACATTGTCAAGAATCTAGATAGCTAGAGCCAGATTTCTGGCATTCATGCCAGATGCCAGAAGATCTTTAGCTACTGACTATCACTGGAGAGTCTTTAGGTCAGTATAAGTGAGAAGATAATCTTATTTAGTATTGTGTAGCAACTTATTTGGAATTACAAGTCTCTTGGATCCTTGAGGGCTACATTTTGGCGGTGGTGGTGGTGGTAACATTTCAATAAGTCAACCAAGTGGAATTTCTAATCTTAATATGACAACCCATAGAATCCTTCTACCTAAAAAATTGTCACAAAATTTAGGGTATTTTATTCTCTTCTTCTCCTTATTTCCCTTCTTATTTTAAGGTGGATCCAGTTTATCTCAGTTGCATTTTTTTCTCCTTCAATATAAAAATGCTATAAAATTATTATTTCTAAAACTTTGGAAAATATAGAAAAACTAAAAATAAGAACAATCCTATTCCCAAGGGCAAGTGTTGTTAGTGTCTCTCTCAGTCCTGGCCCAGGTTTGTTTTTATTTTTGTTTTGTTTCATAATTGTGACCATATTGTATGTATGATTTTGTTTTTGTAAACATTAGCACTGTCATAAGCTTTCTCCAATGCTAGTAAAATTATGTAAACAATTCTTATTCTTCCTCTTTCATTTCTTCTCTTCCCTTCCATTGTCTTCTTTAAAAGTGTTTATCGTCTTCCCTCTTTCCTTATCAAATACCATTAAGGAGACTTCTGCTTTTGGACAAGACAGAATAATAAGAACCGGGTTTTTCATCTAGTGTATTAGGAGGGGGTAGTGTGAGTTCAAGCACATCATGGCTATTAGAGTTCATGAGACATAATACCAAAGAAGAGAGGCCTGCACAGAGAGAAGGCTCTGGAGATCTGAAGAGCATCCCCTTTGAGTTTTCATCTAAGTACTGAACAGCATGTGTGTGTGTGAAGAAACTATTCAAGTTTTCTAGGAGGAAAAACCATTGGGATTCACATAGGGCTTGGAAGAGTTTGTATTCCCACATGCCAGAGTGGATAGAACTCATAATTTGTGGATGTAAGATAGTGTATTCAGAAGGATAATGTCCCAACAGTGGGATGAAATTAATCCTAGGTTAAAAGCTGCTCTGATCCTGTATAAAACAAGTATGAAAGCAGGTCTCAAAGGATCAAACTGTTTCCAAGTAATTTAATTCCAAGAACAAAGCTCAAGAATATTTACAAAAATATAGAAAAAAAAAATCCAGTACCTAACGAGATAAAATTAATGATGTCTGGGATCCAATAAAAATATTACCAAATATGCTAAGAAGCAGGAAATATGAGCCATAATGAAAAAAGTAATCAATAGAAAGAGACTCAGTAGTAATACAGATGACAGAATTAAAGGACATTAAAACAGATATTGTAATTATATTTCTTATGGTCAAGAAGGTAGATTATAGCCTGAGTATGTTAAAAAGGGACATGAAAGATATTTTTTAACTGTAAATCAAACTTCTAGAGATAAAACTACAATGCCTGAAAGAAAAAATACATTGGATGGAATTAACAGCAGATTAGTCACTTCAGAAGGAAAGATTAATGAACTTAAGGCAGAGCAATAGAAACTATTCAAAAGGAAACAAATTAAAAAGACCAATAAAAGTGAATACAGCTTCAGGGAGTTTAGGGCAAGTTTAAGCAGCCTAATACACACATAATGGGAGTTCCCAAAGGAAGTAAGTGGGAACAGAAAAAAAAAATCAAAGAAATAATGGCTAAAACTTTCCCAAGTTTAATGAAACCTCTAAACCACACAGATTCAAGAAGCTTAGTAAATGCCAAGTATAAGAGGCATGATGCTAAGTCACATCACAATCAAATTAGTAATAAAGAGAAAAATAATAAAGCAACCAGAGAAAAAAGACACATATGGAAAAAAGAATGAAGATTAGAATTATCACAGACTACTAACTGGAAACAATGCATGTTAGAAGACAGTGTAGAAACAACTTTAAAACACTTAAAGAAAAAAACTGTCAACTTAGCATTCTCCAGCCAGCAAAAATATTTGTCATACAGTGGAGGTGTATTGAACATAGAGTTACCATGACGTATCAATTTTATTCCTAGGTTTATGTTCACACAAAACTTGTATACAAATGTTCATAGCATTCCTAATGATTAAAAAGTGAAAATAATTCAAATATTCATCATGTGATAAATGAATAAGTAAAATATGATATACGCATACAATGGAAAGTTACTTGGCAATAATAAGAAATGAAGTACTGATACAAGCAACAACATGCATGAACCCTGAAAATGTTACGGCAAGTGAAAAAAACAGTAAAAGGTGATTGGATATTTTATGATTCCACTTATGTGAAATATCCAGAATAGGCAAGTCTGTAGTGACAGAAAGTGGACTAATAGTTGCTTAGGGCTGGAAGTGGGAGGAGAAAATGGAAAGTGACAGATAAAGCAAGTTAGGATTTCTTTAGGGAGAACAGAAATGTGGCAATGGATGCATAATCTTGTGTATATCCTAAAAATATTGAAATATACATTTTAAAAGGGAGAATTGTATGGTATTTGAATTATATCTCAATAAAACCATTGAAATCATGATAAAGGTGAAATATTTTTTTCAGATATAAAAAGCTGAAAGCTTAATCAGCAAAAGACCTGAGCTAAAATATTAAAGGAAGTTTTCAGGTAGAAGGAATATGATATCACAGGGAAATCTGAATCTACACAATGGGATAAAGAACACCAGAAATGATAAATAATGTGGGTAAATATAAATCCTTTTCTTTTTTCTTTTTTGGAAGACAGGGTCTCACTTTGTCACCTAGGCTGGAGTGCAGTGGCGAGGTATCAGCTAACTGCAACCTCTGCCTCCTGGGCTCAAGTAATCCTCCCACCTTAGCCTCCCAAGTAGCTGGGACTATAGGCATGCACTATCACATCTAGCTAATTTTTGTAATTTTTTTGTAGAAATAGGGTTTTGCCATGTTGCCCAGGCTGGTCTCAAACTCTTGAGCTCAAGCAATCAGCCCACCTCGGCCTTCCTAAGTGCTGGGGTTACAGGCGTGAGCCACTGCACCCGGCCTCCTTTTCTTTTTATTTAAAAATTTCTTTTTCTTTTTCTTCTTTTTAAAATTTTGAGATGGAGTTTCACTCTTGTTGCCCAGGCTGGAGTGCAATGGTGCAATCTCGGCTCACCGCAACCTCCGCCTCCCAGATTCAAGTGATTCTCCTGCCTCAGCCTCCTGAGTAGCTGGGATTACAGGCATGCACCACCATACCCAGCTAATTGTGTATTTTTAGTAGAGCCAGGGTTTCTCCATGTTGGTCAGGCTGGTCTCAAACTCCCAACCTCAGGTGATCTTCCCACCTTGGCCTCACGAAGTGCTGGGATTACAAGCATGAGCCACCACGCCTGGCTTTAAAATATTTCTTTAAAATATTACTGACTAAAGCAAAAAAAAGTATGATGGACTTTATAACAATAAAAAAGTAAAACGTGTAAAAACAAGACCAAGACCAGAATGGGAAGAGCTGGAACTTTACTGTCGTAGCATTTTAATATTATACATAACATGGTATAATATTAGATGTGTAATATAAAATCTAAAGCAACTACTACAAAAACAATACTAGAAGTTATAGCTACTAAGCCAACAAAGGATAAAAAATAGAATCAAAATTAATTAATCCAAAAGAAGGAAGTAAAAGGGAACAAAGAATAGGTGGGACTACTAGAAAAGAAACAAAGAAGGTAGATTTAAACACAATCATATCAACAATCACATTAAATGTAAATGTTCTAAATTCTCTAATTAAATGTAGTCAGACTGCATTTTTTTTTTAAAAAAAAGCAAGACCAAACTACAGTCATGCATTGCTTAACAACAAGGATGCATTCTAAGAAACGCCTAATTAGGTGATTTCCTCATTGTGTGAACATCATCGTGTGTACTTACACAAACCTAGACAGTATAGCCTTCTATGTACCTAGGCTATATGATATAGCCTATTGCTCCTAGGCTACAAACCTGTATAACATGTTACTGTACTGAATACTATAGGCAAGTGTAGCACAATGATAATTATTTGTGTATTTAAACATAGAAAAGGTATAGTAAAAATGCAGTTTTATAATCTTATGGAACGACCATTGGTTCCATATATAGCCCATCATTAACTGAAACATTACTATTTGATACATGACCGTATATGCTGGCTACAAGAAACTCACTTTCAATATAAAGACACAAGTAGGTTTGTGATGGCCTCTTATTGGGTTGACGTAGATTGACTGAACTAAATTTCTTGTAGTTCCCCTTCCTGTATATACCCTATTAGAGTAGACCACAGGAGAGATTCTTATGGGCTATTTGAAGTGCAGAAGAAAAACAGCAGCCATTTGGTTGCTCACATACATTGTCTCTTATCTGCTAACTCACCACATTTATCCTGAAGCAGGGCTTCACCTGCAATTGCTCTGCATTCTCCTGAATCATTCAGCTTCTCTGATTTCTTGGCCAGCTCTGTGATGAAGAACCTAGCTTCTGCAGGACATCCATACCATCAAGAAACTTCAGAAACCAGTAAAAGAAGAGCAAACTATACAAAAAGGAAGCAGGAGAAAGGAAATAATAAGAAAATAAATGAAATAGAAAATAGGCAAATTGTATAGAAATATCAGTGAAACTAAAAGCTTGTTCTATAAGAATATTAATAAAGTAAATAAATCTCAATCCCAACTGATCAGAAGAAAATAGAGAAGACATAAATTACCATAAGCATGGGTGAGAGAGGTGACATCACTATAGGTCCTACAGATAAAAGAATAATATATAAATATTATGAATAACTTTATGACAATAAATTCCACTTAGATGAAATAGACAAATTCCTTGATCAACTCAAACTAGCCAAACTCACTCATGAAGAAATAGATAACCAGAGTAGTCCTCTATCCATTAAAGAAATTGAATTTGTGGTTAAAAGCCTTGCTATAAAGAAAACTGCAGTGTTAGCTGCTTTATTAGTCAAGTCCACTAAGCTTCGAAGAAAGAAATAATACTAATTCTTCATGAACTCTTCCAGAAAACTGTAGAGGAGGAACTATGTCACAACTGATTCTGAGGCCAACATTACTCTGACACCAAAATTAGACAAAGACCTTGCAAGAAAAGAAAAGTTCAGACAAATATACCTCATGAACATAGATGCAAAAATTCTTAACAAATTTTAGTAAATTGATTCCAACAATATATGAAAGGACAATATGTCATAATGAAGTGGGACTTATCCATAGAATGGAAGGTTTGCTGAATGGTTTAAAAAAAAAAGTTATTTATCTTATTAACAGACTAAAAAAGAAAAACCATAGATCATCTCAACTGACAATAAAATGTGTTTGGCAATATCCATCATCCATTCCTGATTTTTTAAAAAACTGTCAGCAAACTCAGAACAGAAGGGAATTTACTCAACCTACAGGTTATTTCCAAAAACCTACAGCTAACATCATACTTAATGGTAAAAGACCGGATACTTTTTCCCTAAGATGAGGATCAAGTAAAAAATATATGTTCTTACCACTTGTATTCAATGTTATAGTAGATATTCTACTTGCCAGTGAAATAAGGCAAGAAAAGGAGCTAAATTTGCCTTTATTCACAGAAGAAATGATCCTTTATGTAGACAAAAAGTACAGAATATATTTTGAAAGCTATTTAAACTAGTATGTGAGTTTAGTAAGATCAATACATAATATTATACGACAAAATCATTTGTTTTTCTGTATACCAATAATGAATAATCAGACACTGAAATTTAAGAATACCACTTATAATAGCAATTAAATATATGAAATGCTTAGTGATAAATTTAACCAAGGATGTGCATTGATTGTACACTGAAAATTATAAAGCATTACAGAGAGAAATTCAAGGAGATTTAGCTAAATGGGGACCTATGCCATGTTCATTAATTAAAAGACTAAGTACTGTTAAGATGCCAAGTTTCCCTAAGTTGTAATCTCAACCAGAATTCCAAGATTTTTTAAAAAGTAATTGATAATCTAACTTTCAAATTTATATGGAAATACAAAGAACCTGAAATAACCAAAAACTTTGTAAAATAAGGAGAAAGTTTAGGGGCTGATTTCAAGACTTATTATAAAGATACAGTAATCCAGGCAGTGTAGTATCAGCATAAAGTGAAAAAACTAAACCAATGAAACAATATAGACAGTCTAGAAACAGACCCATACGTATATATGGTCAATTGATTTTTGACAAATTTGCCAAGGCAATTCAGTGGGGGAAAGGAGAGTCTTTCAACAAAATGGCACTAGAAAAATTATATAAGGTAGGGCATGGTGGCTCATGCCTGTAATCCCAGCACTTTGGGAGGCTGAGGCAGGCAAATCACTTGGGCTTAAGAGTTCAAGACCAGCCTGAGCAACATGGTGAAAACCCATCTCTACGAAAAAATACAAAAATTAGCTGAGCATGGTGGCACACGCCTGTAGTCCCAGCCACTTGGAAGGCTGAGGTGGAAGGATCAATTGAGCTCCGGAGGTAGAGGTTGCATTGAGCTAAGATCGTGCCACTGCACTCCAGCCTGGGTGACAGAGCAAGTACCTGTCTCAAAAAAAAAAAAAAAAAAATACATGGATACCAAAATAAACCTTATCCCTTATGTCATATCATACAGGAAAATAAAGTTGAAATTGATCATATCCCTAAATAAAACAATAACACTTTTAGAATAAAACATAAGAGAAAACCTTGGTGATCTGTTTTTGTTGAAGTTTTTAAAACAGCATACAAAGAAAGGAATAAAAAAGGAAAGTCAATTATTTGGACTTCACCACAAAATGAAAATACTTTGTGCATCATAGACATGGTAAGAATGTGAAAGGGCAAACCACAGAATGAGAGAATATCTTTTTGAAAGATATTTGACAAAAGATTACAGTATAAAAAGAACCGTTACAACTCCAGGATCCTAAGACCAAAAAAATAAAAAATAAAAAAACTTGTGAAAAATGGGCCAAACTTGCATAAAAGTTGATATAAGAATGGCAGATAGGCCCATGGAAAGATGCTTCATAGCCTTACTCACTAGGGAAATGCAAATGAAAACCACCTCACACCCACTAGAATGGCTAATGTTATAAAACCTGTTAAAATTACAAAGTACTGGTAGGGATGTGGATTAACTGGAACTCTCATATATTGCTGATGTAAAATGGCACGATGTACTGGGGAGACATTTTGTTGGTTTCTTAAGAATTTAAGCCTATACCTACCATACAACCCAGTTGTTGTCCTCTATGCATTGATCCAAGACAAAATAAACTTATTTGTTCACAAAATAAAGCCTATGTAGTGAATGTTCATAGCAGCTTTATTTACAATAGACAAAAACTACAAACAATGGCCGGGCACAGTGGCTCACGCCTGTAATCCCACCACTTTGGGAGGCTGAGGCGGGTGGATCATCTGAGGTCGGGGTTCAAGACCAACCTAGCCAACATGGTGAAATCCCGTCTCTACTACAAATACAAAATTAGCCGGGCATGGTGGCGCATGCCTGTAATCCCAGCTACTCAGGAGGCCGAGGTGGGAGAATCGCTTGAAACCGGGAGGAGAAGGTTGCAGTGAGCCGAGATCACACCATTGCACTCCAGCCTGGGTGATAAGAGCGAAACTCCATTTCAAAATAAACAAACAAACAAACAACAACAACAAAAACCTACAAACAACCCAAATGCCCTTCAGTGGGTGAATAGATCAACATGCTGTGATTTATCCATGCAATGGAATACTTTTCAGCAATAAAAAGGGATGGACTATTGTATTGATCCATGTAACGGAATGGATGACTCTCAAAATAATTATGCTGCGTGAAAGAAGCCAAAGATGAGTGCATGCTGTGTGATCCCATTATATAAAATGCAAACTAATCTATAGTGACAGATAGTAGATCAGCTGTTGCCTGGGAACACAGAGGATTATTGTGGAGGAGGGGCAGGAAGGAGAGATTATAAAAGGGCATAGGAAGCTATTTGAGGTGGATGATATATTAATTATCTTGATGGTGGTTATGATTTTATGGGCATATACATATGTCAAAACTCAACGTATTGTGCACTTAAATATGTATAGTTCACTGTATATCCATTATACCTCCATAAAGCTGTAAAACAAAAAGCCATTAGGCAGATCCAAACAAGTTAGGCAGCGTATAGAGGCAGGTTCAAATTAGAGTTTTGGGTGAGAGAAGGAGGGGGTTGCAGAAAGCCTGGCCATTTACAGGATGATTCATATAAGAGGAGCCAGGCTTTTCACTGTTGGAGTTACAATTACAGAAAAATAAAAGGAAACCAGAATGAACTTTGTGTTGTTAGACTTTGTGGTATCAGTGTGAATCTTATGGTTTTTATGTGTGCAGACACACAAATACAGAGAGATTTGATGTGTGTATACATTCATATACATCCTACCTCTATTCACAGAAAGGGCCTGGGAATAGTCATGCCCCAGCTATAACAAGCACATCTAGCATCTAGATTTTGACTTGTTAATATCACTTTTCAATGAAAGGAAGCAGGGCTTCTTGGAGAAACATCAGATTCCAGGGCTGAGGCAGGGAATGTACAAGATGAACCTGAATATCCTTCTGTGCTAGGAAGCAAAGAAATTCTCAAACAATAATGAGGAGATAACAAAAATTCTCAGAAGCCAGTTTAAAGAGGCTTTCATTGGCCACATCTGGTGATTTGAGCATCAAGATAAATAATGACAGTTACAGATTCTAATCTACTGAATAAAACACAAATATGTGGCTCCACACTGCTAAAAGAAATAAATGAATAAATGAATAAACAAATGGGAAGGCAAGAGAAGTCTCCCTTACAGTAGAAAGCCAACTAATAAATGTAGAAGGATTGATGATATCAGAAGGTCTCCATTTGACAACTATCACAGTAATAATTAACATTAATGGACACCCAAACTGGTGGGTGAAAGTAGGGTTTAAATGAAATTTTACATAGTCTCAAATTATCTCTCCAGAAAATATCTATTGATTACAAAAGGGGAAAAACATGACTTTCTAGTTGTAGAAGCCTGGCAGACACTGTCTTGACCAAGAAAAGTTAACACCACCAGTAATGAGACTTTTATAGGTGCAAGATGGACCACCCCTCACCTCCAAAATTGGTTTAGATTTGAGACTGATGATGACACACACACACACACACACACACACACATACACACACCCCAAGAGGATAAAAAGAGATTTATTTATTACTCATATATTGAGGCTTTCTGGGAAGAGTAGGGCAGGCTCCCAAACAGGTCTGGAAATGGCTGAGAAAGCACAGAGGGTGACTGGCTTTGATTTTTTATTGTGGTTAATGGGCTCCGGCTGGGGTGAGGGTTACCAGTTATGGGACAGGGCTCACGTGCTTTGAACCTCCCACCAGCATCAAACAAGGAATCACCCAGGCTTTCTTATCAGCTTGCCAAGATGTAGGGCAGAAGAGGAAGAAAGAGGAGTGGGCCTTGAAAGCTGTTAGCAGTCACACATGAAAAATAGAATCAGACTAGAAACAAACAGATGCCATGCTCCATCCAATAGTTGCAATGAAAAGAATACAACATCTGTGATATTCCAGCCAAAAATATATTACCTGGGTCTAATTATGAGAAACATCAAACAAATCCACTGTGTAGATGAGAATTAACATAGCAGGCCTGGGGCTGCTATCCTTAGAAAGGCCTGCTTGCAAGGTTGCCCATGATTGGTATCTGGGAACTTGGATTTAAGGAGTGTTCCCATCACACAGTGAGTGGCTCGCTCTGCCCAAACTGCTTGTACAAAGAATGAGGATTGTGTTGAATTCTGCTTTCCTTTGGGGAGTCTGGAATTTTGGTACTTGCTGGACAGAGAGTGTCTATGTGACCAGTCACAATAAAACCCTTGAGCACTGAATTTCTAATAAGCTTCCTGGTAGGTAACATTTCACATGTGTTATCAGAGCTCATTGCTGGGGAAATTAACACATCCTGTATGATTCTACTGGGGAGAAGTCTTGGGAGCTTGCCTGGTTTTCTCTGGATTTTGCCCATTGTGCCTTTTCCCTTTGCTAATTTTCCTTTTTATTCTTTGGCTTTAATAAATCATAGCGACGACTGTGGCCATCTGCTGAGTCCTGTGAGTCCTCCTAGCAAATCATCAAACCTGGAGTGATCCTGAGGAACCCAACACACCCACATTGAAAAATATTCTAAGTGATTGTCCTATAATCTTTAAAGAATGTTGAGGTCATGAAAAATAGTCATAACAGCTGTGAACAATGTTGAGATCTTGAACTGCATTCTTTTCTGTAAAGGATGTTTCTGGGACAGTTGGCCAAACTTGAATGGCATCTCTAGATGATGGGTCCATGAAAGTTCTTTATGCCAACCTTGCAAGTTTTTGGTAAGTTTAGAACTGTTTCAAAATAAAATATGTATTTTTTTTTCTTTTCTGTTGTCAAGACGGGGTCTCATTCTTTCACCCAGGCTGGAGTGCAGTGGCAAGATCTCAGCTCACTGCAGCCTCAACCTCCCTGGTTCAAGCAATCCTTCCACCTCAGCCTCCTGAGTAAGTAGCTAGGACTACAGGTGTACGCCACCATGCCAGGCTTTTTTTTTTTTTCTTTTTTTGTAGAGACAAGGTGCTGTGTGGCCCAGACCGGTCTTGTACTCCTGAACTCAAGCAATCCACCCACCTCGGCCTCCCAAAGTGCTGGGATTACAGGCATGAACCATCATGCCCAGCCCTAAAGTATGTATTTTTTCAAAACTCTGGAAGCATTTTTTATTGGCTGCATAATATTCTACTGCACAATTATCTATCATAGTTTCTTCAGCCTAGTGGTTTTCAACCCTGGCTACACATGAAAGCCACTCAGAGACTTTTTATACATATATGCCTAGGTCTCAGTCCTAGAGATTTTGATTCAGTTGTTCTGATATGAAGATTAGGAATCATTATTGTAAAAATATAGCAAACCAAGTGATTTTAATGTGGAACCAGAAATGAAAATCAGTAGGCTAAGAAAAACTATAATAGTAACCAATCCCTTAATGTTGATTATTTAGGTTGTTTCTAGCCATAGTATGTCAATAAAAATATTTGTGCATAAAGCTTTTCCCTTATTTTGTATTATGTTCTTAATATTAACCCCAGAGATCAAAGGGTATGAATATTTTTAAGGCTGCTCTTGGTATTTTTCCAAATCGATTTTAAAAGCAAATTATCTGGTGTCTGTTCTACTGTATGTAGATAGAACATTCTCCATTTTAAATGTCTTTGTTAGTATAATAGAAAAAAGGTGCTATATTATTCTAATTTGTATTTTTAAACTTTCTCTAGAGGGTTAAGCATTTCCAAATTTTGTTGTGCATCAGCGTTTCCTCTCTGGGAAATAATTGTTATATTCTTTTATGTATTAGGAAGGTAGTCTTTCTCAGATAGTTTTATGTAAGTGCTTTATCATATATAAGTGCAATATTTCCCCAGTTTGTGGTTTGACTTTTAATTTTTGTCATTTTACTCTTTAAGAGAAAGAATATTTTCTTGGGAATGAGAAAATATGCTGCAGTAGCAAGAAGAGCTGGCAAATTCAAGGCTTATTCTATATCTGGAAGGAGTTCCTAAGACAGAGGAGGAAAAAATACTGCAAGCTGTGGCCAAGAAGTTCTGTGTTTTGTATTACCAAGGTGTTTTGAGGGTTGAAGAATATGTATCAAACCCAATAGGGTTTATTTTATTCTTATTCATAGGACTATGTGCCCTATTTTAAGTACCACCTTAGAGAGAACAACACATGCTAGAGTTATTTTTCTCCTTCGTCATAGAATGTTTGGAAAATCAGATACTAAATTAGTTGTAACACGGCCCTGAAAATAAAAACTTGCTAAAAAAAATGAGTTCACACAAAAAGTGTAGTGTGGGTTGGCAAAAACAGATAGAAATAAACAGATCATTCTGTCTATTATGGAGAAGATATTCTGGGCTAATCCCACTCACAATCACTGCAGTATTCAGTGTAATAGGGCAAGAAGTCTTATCACAAGATGTTATTTCAGAAAATGCTATAAAAAACTTATATCCCAAGAAGATAAGTGAATTGCACATAGACCTGAGAAATCTAGGCTAGTCTGAAAAAATCCATTCACCCCCTTCAGGGTTAATGGAAGGCTTCTGCCACGTGGGGGAGCTCAAATCTCACTTCCCTCAGCTATTACTCCACCCACAAAGTAGTTGATTACTAATATTGGATTGGTCAAGTCCAGGAACACGGTTTAGGTCACTATGCTTGGGCCTGGAACTTTCTCTTTGCTAAAGGAAAGGTTAAATATGGTTCCTGGTGGCAAAATTTCTTTTATAGCTCATTTTGTAGTTTTTTTTCCCCCCTTGATTGGCTTTTTAGGAAAACTGATTTCCTATTCAACTGGGTGATGAAACAGTTTGAGGGCTTTACTGAGACCTTTGTGCCCTGCTGCCCCCTGGAAGGTCTTGGGGGGCAATGGATGGTTTCTAAGAAGAAGAAAAACTTTTCATTATTTCCTTGCTTTAATTGCAATTTGATTGGAATTGCCTTTTCTTTCCATTATAGACAAACAATAAGGATGACTGTGGGCCAGGTAACATCCTCTGGGTGATGAGACAGAACTGATTGTAGTAGGTTAGGAATTAATTTCAAGGGCAAAGGAAGGCTTGTCTCAAAACAGACAAAACTTCACTGTAGACAATTTTGGACTGGTGGTGCTGGCATTGATGGACAGGAGGAACAACCCCAGGGATTTGTTTACCTTCTTATCTCCTTTTGTTCCCCCTGGGCTGAGATGAATCCTGATAATGGCAGGGATTTTTGAGCACTAAAATTATTCAATAAATCAGAGTTATGAAATTCATCACTAGACAAATGAAGATCCGTAAAAGCCATTTTCTTTCTTTCTTCTCTTTCTTCCTTTCTTTTTGTTCATTCATGCCTCTTTTCCTTTTGGAGGTGGTTGCATTTAAGATTTATCAATAATTGCTTTTCCTATTTAAAATTGATTTTTAACTATATAAATGATTTCCAAATACCTTCTTCTTCCAAAAAACTGGAAGCCTACAGCTAAAGCTGCCATTAAGTCATCTTTGAGCACTATCCAACGACCCTGATGCCATATCCCAGGCATTACAATAGAGTAGTAAGGAAGGGCTGGAGCCAGATTGCTTAGGTTCAAATTAAACTAATTAACTGGCTGTGCAACTTTATGCAAGTTACTTAACCTGACTATGCCTGATTTTCTTATCTGGAGGATGGATATTAATGCCTAACTCATAGGGTGATTTTAAGGATTAAATGTAATAATATTTGTAAAGCACTTAAACACCATATGGCATGTAGAAGCACTTAATAAATGTTAGCTATTGTTCTTCTACTTACTACTTGTGATATGTATTTCTTCCCATAGATCATGCAATGAGCTATGATCGCACCACTGCAGTCCAGCCTGGGCAAGAGAATGAGCTGCTGTTCCCTCCCCACCCCCCCAAAAAAAAGAGAGAGAGAGTGATATGTTTTGGCTGTGTCCCCACCCAAATCTCATCTTGAATTCCCACGTATTGTGGGAGGGACTGGGTGGGAGGTAAGTGAATCATGGGGGTAGGTCTTTCCCATGCTGTTCTCATGATAGTGAATAAGTTTCATGAGATCTGATGGTTTTATAAGGGAGAGTTTCCCTGCACAAGCTCTCTCTCCCTTTGCCTGCTGCCATCTATGTAAGATGTAATTTGCTATTCCTTGCCTTCTGTCATGATTGTAAGGCCTCCCTAGCCATGTGGAAATGTAAGTTCATTAAACCTCCCTTTTCTGTATAAATTACCCAGTCTTGTGTATGTCTTTATCAGCAACATGAGAAGAGACTAATACAGTAAATTGGTACCAGGAGTGGGGCTGTACCCTGCAAAGCCACAGGGGCAGAGCTGCCTAAGACCATGAGAACCCACCTCTTGCATCAGTCTGACCTGGATGTGAGACATGGAGTCAAAGGAGATCATCTTGCAGGTTTAAGATTTGAGGCCAAGCACGGTGGGTCACGCCTGTAATCCCAGCACTTTGGAAGGTCTAGGTGGGTGGATAACTGGAGGTCAGGAGCTCGAAACCAGCCTGGCCAACATGGTGAAACCCCGTCTCAACTAAAAATACAGAATTATCCAGGTGTGGTGGCACACACCTGTAATCCCAGCTTCTTGGAAGGCGGAGACAGGAGAATTGCTTGAACCCAGGGGGCAGAGGCTGCAGTGAGCTGAAACCATTCCACTGCACTCCAGCCTGGGCAAGACAGAGTGACACACTCTGTCTCAAAACAAAACAAAACAAAAAAAAGATTTGACTGCCCTGCTGGGTTTTGGACTTGCATGGGGTCTGTAGCCCCTTTGTTTTGGCCAATTTCTCCCATTTGGAATGGCTTCATTTACCCAATGCCTGTACCCCATTGTATGTAGGAAGTAACTAACTTGCTTTTGATTTTACAGGCTCATAGGTGGAAGATACTTGCTTTGTCTCAGATGAGACTTTGGACTATGGACTTCTGAGTTAATGCTGAAATGAGTTAAGAGTTTGGAAGGCATGATTGGTTTTGAAATGATTTTATAAGGGAGAGTTTCCCTGCACAAGCTCTCTCTCTCTTTGCCTGATGCCATCCATATAAGATGTGACTCACTCCTCCTCAACTTCCATCATGATTGTGAGGCCTCCCCAGCCACGTGGAACTGTGAGTCTATTAAGCCTCTTTTTCTGTATAAATTACCCAGTCTTGGGTATTTTTTATCAGCAGTGTGAGAGCAGACTAATACAGAGAGAGTGAGAGAGATAGGGAATCCTTAGGGGGAAATGGATATGGAACAACAGGAGTAAAGCATT
Organism: Homo sapiens; assembly: GCF_000001405.40. NCBI lineage: Eukaryota > Metazoa > Chordata > Mammalia > Primates > Hominidae > Homo > Homo sapiens. Next base: position 508,648 of record NW_015495299.1, read on the forward strand.
AGATTGTGTTGCTGTAGAAAAAGAGGTCAAGAGGTAACCAGTATTATGAGTTTTCAGAATATCATTTTAGTATCATCAGTATGTGTGTGTTTGACAAAATGGTGTCATATGCATTTTATTCTACAGCTTGCCTTTTTCAATTAGCAGTGATGTTTGAGATTTATCCATGTTGATACAAATAGATCTAGTATATTCCTTTTAACTGTTATTGCTACTAATACTTGTCTGTTACAAACAGTGCTGCCTGGAACCTTTGAATAAGTGTCTACAAAGTGAATATGTGCCAGAGTTTCTCTCAAATAGAAATCTATATGTGGAACTGCTGGGTTCTAGGCTATGTGCAAATTACTTGAACCAATTTATATTCCCACAGCAGTATCTGAGAGTACCCAGTTCCTGAAAACCTTGTAAAAATTCATAAATAAAATTAAACCTTTGTGCCAATCTAAGGGAGAGAAACAGTATGTCATTGTTTTACTTTGCATTTCCCTGGTTTCTAGTGAGATTGAGCATCTTTTCATGTTTATTGGCCATTTGCATTTTCTCTTTCGTGAATCATCTGTTTATAATCTCTATTCAGATTTCTATTACATTGTCTGATTTTTTCTTATTAATCTATGAGATGATCTTTTGTTAAGTATGCTGCATATACTTTCTCCTAATCAGCTTTGCTTAGCTTTCAGCTTTTTTCATGGAGTCTTTGGTCATACAGGCCTAAATGTTAGTGCAATCAAGTTGATCGGCTTAGTTTCTCATTTTGGGGGGCTTGTTTTTCATTTTGCTTTTTGATTCTTGTTTAAGAAATCCTCTTTACCACATATTTGTAAGAATATTCATTTATATTGATCTAAATATATCTCTTTCTATACACACACACACATACATATTTTAAGTAGACCCTTTCTATACATGAATTTGTCATCTTGGAAAATATAAAGGCCTCTGGTGCCAGAACACTCTGGCTATAGATATTATGTTTGCTCAGAGGCAGAAGAAAAACTATAGATGAAGAAGAAAGATTCAAAATTTGATAGAGGATCAGAAAAGTATTGCTTGGGCTTTGGAAGTGGTGAATCTGAAACATGAAGGGAAACAGGACTAGCTTTAAGAATAGACTTTTTTCCTTGAGGTTAAGTGGGAAGAGAATATACTGGGAAGGATGACATCGATTAGACAAATGGTATAAGCTTACATGTTGTAGAGAAGGAATGACATTACATTAGGAATAGATGAAGTTTGGGAAAATATGTGAATCTACCCGAAAGAGATAGGGAATCTTAAATCAACTGGGAGTGGTGGTGTGTGCCTGTAGTCCTAGCTACTCAGGTGGCTAAGCAGGGAGGATTGCTTGACCCCAGGAGTTAGAGGCTGCAATGAGCCGTGACTGCTCCAGTCTGGGCGACAGAGCGAGAACGTGTGAGAGAGAAAGAGAGATAGGGCATCCTTGGGGGAGGGGCGGAAAAGATATGGAACAATAGGAGTAAAGAGGTTGTGCTGCTGCAGAAAAAGAGGTCAAGATACCTAATGCTAAATGACAAGTTAATGGGTGCAGCACACCAACATGGCACATGTATACATATGTAACAAACCTGCACGTTGTGCACATGTACCCTAAAACTTAAAGTATAACAATAATAAAATAATAAATAAATGAGGTCAGGAAAGCACTATTTCTGTTGGTCTGAACAGAAGCTAGAAAACACATAGAAGAAGACATGTTGTTTTTTCCTGCACCACTAAAGACTTGAGAAACATCACCAACAATAACTCCACTTCAGAAATGTGTTGATGGGAGGATTCTCCAGCTGACATAAGCGTGGAGGCAGAGGGAAAATCTAACCTAGGGAGGAGGACTGTTAGGATGAAACATTTCCAAAGTATAAAACAGTAGCATCTTCAGCATAAACGACATCATCAGACTTAAAACAAACCAACAAACCATCCACCCAGCCAACCATGGTATCTGGTGGGAGTTAGAGAAATAGAGAGAAGCAGGAAATTGGGTCTAGGGGAAATATAAGGCCAAGAACATAGGGTGTTTGGAGATGCCTCTTGTAAATAGGCAGAGCACTGTTGCAAGAAGGCAGAGCCTGCTCTCTTGGGGCTCCAGCTCAGTTTATATGTTGTGCTGCATTTGGGCACCAAGAATATGAAGATAAATATAAAAGCAAATGAAGAAGTTTTTAAAATGCAGAATGAACACAAATAGGAAGAAAAGAACCTAAGAAATTCCTGGGGATTGGTGAGAGCCTCAGTGCAAATTTCTGAATTGTGCAAGAAGCAGCACCAGTGTGTATAGGAGTGATGGACTTTTCAATGAAATTTGGAATTTAGTATCACAATTAATCTCCTGATCACGTTCCTTCTAACTGGGTTTAAGGTCATGAGAGTTGACAAGCAGGGACCCTGGACAACTGCATGGATTGATTGACATCCTGGCAATTCCGTTTTGTCTCCTTCCTCCTCTTCTTTGAATGTCTGTGTATTAGAATCTTACAGTGAATATGCGTTTGGGCATCATTCATTCCTCAGCTGACATACCTGCTACCTTTGATTAGATTATTTTTGTGTCTTTGAAAGCGGGGCCGTCCTTAAGCAAAACTGTGATGTTCTTCAATTTCTGATCCCTGATCTACAGATTTGTCTATAGCTGCACCCTTCTTTGTCTTCTTTCCATACTTCCCCATCAAGTGGTGTTGTGTGTATATCTTTAAAATTTTCTTCTCTGCTCCAAACTTAATAGACATAGCTGTGGAAAAACCCCCAAAGCTCAACATTTTCATGGGCCAGAAATGGAAACACTCAGTGGTAAGCTGGACTGCAGTATAGGCCTGCTGGGCTGTAGGTCCAGAAATAGGCAGAGTGAGGAGGGTGACTCCTGCAGGGCAATGAAAACCAAAGTGGCCCACATGTGGTGGGGCACCAGAGCCAGCATCACTGTGTAAAACCAAAGGCTAGGTGGGCCTGCCTGACCATGAAAGGAGGTTGAAACCACTCTGATCACTGCTTGAAGCTGCGGCTTTATAAAGCTGAATCTCTGTAGGGAACGGGAGGAAATAGAGCAAGCCAAGCAGCAGGATCTATTTGGCTCAGTAACTAGATCTACAATAGTCCCATCACTCTGGGCTAGGAGCAGCATACTTCCAAACAAGACCTGGTTCTGAATTTGCATGCTAAAGTTCTCCCTGGGGGCTGAGTGGAGGCAACTGCAAAACTTATACACAGGGAGAGGTGACCAGAGATCACGTAAACAACCCAAACAAAACTACAACACAAACAGCTCCACCCAAGATGAGTCTACCAACCCAAATATAAATAGTTTCCATTAGGAAAACTACCACTAAAAAAGACAGTAACAAAATCATCAATCAGGAGAAGAATCCGCTCCTAATGAAATACAAAATAATATAAAACTATCAAGTGATTTAAAAATTATGTTTTCAGGTCTTTAAGGGGATAAAGAAGAACAAGAAGTGATTATTTGGACCTAGCAACAAAAGTTATATGTCAATGAATAATACTAAAAAAATTTACTGGGGAAATGGAAAAAACTGAAGTCTCTCAAGCCCTTTTTGTATACTTAGATTTGACCGGCTAATTCTCATTCATTCAGTCAATCAATTCTACTTGAGATGTGTAATGTGCCGAGTGCTGTTCTAGGTGTTTGGCATACATCAGTGAAAAACACAAAGAATCTCATGGCTCTTGAGCTTATATTCTAGCGAGGGCACATAGTGAACAAAAATAAATAATTAAATCATCTAGTGTTTCTAAAAGTGATGGTGCTTTTGGGGAAAAAAAGAAAAGAAACAGGGTAAGAGAAGTGGGGAGCTCTGGAGTGGGCGGGTTGCAAATAAAAGTCTTATTTTATTCATTTAAACAGGTCATTTAAATGAATAAAAACTCTTATTTTATGCATTTAAACACACACTGGAACCTGTCAGGAGGGTGGGGAGGGAGAGTATCAGGAAAAAGAGCTAATGCATGCTGGGCTTAATATCTAGGTGATAGGTTGATAGGTGCAGCAAATCACCATGACACACGTTTACCCATGTAACAAATCTGCACATCCTACACATGTACCCCTGAACTTAAAATTAAAAAAAAAAACAGATTCTAAAGAACCTATATCTGATAAAATGTTAAGCCTGATTTAAGTTACTATATATAAAAGGAAAACATTTCATTTAAAAATGAATTCCATATTTTCATTCATCATGTAGGCTGTATTTAGCCTGAATTAGTGTCATTTTCATGTTTTTCTGCTTTTCAGTTGAGAGGAAGTTCATTGAAATCGTTTTTGCTTTCAGAAGAATATGTGTGTGGCTCACTAATATACACTTGTGTTTTCCTTAGCTCGGTAGATTCATAGCAAGGCGGGACTTGCCAGGCGAGCCATAGTGCTTGGAGCTGAAGGGAACCAATCACCACAAGACAGTGTCCTAAGAAATGGCCATCAAAGCTGGAAGTCCACCCGAGCCAGCAATCTGAGGAGACAGGGTAGGGAGCGAAGGTCCACATGGAAGCCCCAGGATGGGCAAAAAACATCAAGAAATTTGGAAATAGAGAATGGAAATGTCAACGAACAGTTCAGCTCTTCGTTGTGACCAGTGGTCTGTGACACAGCCCCCAGGAGATCCTGAGAACATGTGCCCAAGGTGGTCAGGCTACAGCTTGGTTTTTCACATTTTAGGGAGATATAAGACATCGATCAACATATGTAAGACGTACATTGGTTCAGTCCCAAAAGGCAGGATAACTCAAAGCAGGGGCTTCCAGGTCATAGGTAGATTAAAAGATTTTCTGATTGGCAATTGGTTGGAAGAGTTATATTATTGTCTGAAGACTTAGAATCAATGGAAGGCAATGTCTGGGTTAAGATAAAGCATTGTGGAGACCAGGGTTCCCATTATGCAGATAGCATCAATAGAAGGGAATAGATTGTAAATGTTTCTTATCAGACTTAAAGAGTCTGTTCTGTCAGTCTTTTTTTTTTTTTTTTTTTTAATTTATTTTTTTATTGATAATTCTTGGGTGTTTCTCACAGAGGGGGATTTGGCAGGGTCATGGGACAATAGTGGAGGGAAGGTCAGCAGATAAACAAGTGAACAAAGGTCTCTGGTTTTCCTAGGCAGAGGACCCTGCGGCCTTCCACAGTGTTTGTGTCCCTGATTACTTGAGATTAGGGATTGGTGATGACTCTTAAGGAGCATGCTGCCTTCAAGCATCTGTTTAACAAAGCACATCTTGCACCGCCCTTAATCCATTTAACCCTGAGTGGACACAGCACATGTTTCAGAGAGCACAGGGTTGGGGGTAAGGTCACAGATCAACAGGATCCCAAGGCAGAAGAATTTTTCTTAGTGCAGAACAAAATGAAAAGTCTCCCATGTCTACTTCTTTCTACACAGACACGGCAACCATCCGATTTCTCAATCTTTTCCCCACCTTTCCCGCCTTTCTATTCCACAAAGCAGCCATTGTCATCCTGGCCCGTTCTCAATGAGCTGTTGGGCACACTTCCCAGACGGGGTGGTGGCCGGGCAGAGGGGCTCCTCACTTCCCAGTAGGGGCGGCCGGGCAGAGGCGCCCCTCACCTCCCGGACGAGGCGGCTGTCCGGGCGGGGGGCTGACCCCCCCCACCTCCCTCCCGGACGGGGCGGCTGGCCGGGCGGGGGGGCTGACCCCCCCCACCTCCCTCCCGGACGGGGCGGCTGGCCGGGCGGGGGGCTGACCCCCCCACCTCCCTCCCGGATGGGGCGGCTGGCCGGGCAGAGGGGCTCCTCACTTCCCAGTAGGGGCGGCCGGGCAGAGGCGCCCCTCACCTCCCAGACGGGGCGGCTGGCCGGGCGGAGGCTGACCCCCCCACCTCCCTCCCAGACGGGGCGGCTGGCCAGGTGGGGGGCTGACCCCCCCACCTCCCTCCCGGACGGGGCGGCTGGCCGGGCAGAGGGGCTCCTCACTTCCCAGTAGGGGCGGCCGGGCAGAGGCGCCCCTCACCTCCCAGACGGGGCGGCTGGCCGGGCGGAGGCTGACCCCCCCACCTCCCTTCCAGACGGGGCGGCTGGCCGGGTCGGGGGGCTGACCCCCCCATCTCCCTCCCGGACGGGGTGGCTGGCCGGGCTGAGGGGCTCCTCACTTCCCAGTAGGGGCGGCCGGGCAGAGGCGCCCCTCACCTCCCGGACGGGGCGGCTGGCCGGGCGGGGGGCTGACCCCCCCACCTCCCTCCCGGATGGCACGGCTGGCCAGGCGGGGGGCTGAACCCCCCACCTCCCTCCCGGATGGCATGGCTGGCCGGGCGGGGGGGCTGACCCCCCACCTCCCTCCCGGATGGGGCGGCTGGCCGGGCGGGGGGCTGACCCGCCCCACCTCCCTCCCGGACGGGGTGGCTGCCGGGCGGAGATGCTCCTCACTTCCCAGATGGGGTGGCTGCCGGGCGGAGAGGCTCCTCACTTCTCAGACGGGGCAGCTGCCGGGTGGAGGGGCTCCTCACTTCTCAGACGGGGTGGTTGCCAGGCAGAGGGTCTCCTCACTTCTCAGATGGGGCGGCCGGGCAGAGACGCTCCTCACCTCCCAGACGGGGTCTCGGCCGGGCAGAGGCGCTCCTCACGTCCCAGAGGGGGCGGCGGGGCAGAGGCGCTCCCCACATCTCAGACGATGGGCGGCCGGGCAGAGACACTCCTCACTTCCTAGATGTCTGTTCTGTCAGTCTTAAGGTCTCTGTGTTGATGTTAATGCTGGTCAGCTATGCCTGAATTCCAAAAGAGAGGAGAGTATAATGAGGCATGTCTGACCCCCACTTCCCATTATGGCCTGAACTGGTTTTTTAGGTTAACTTTGGAATGACCTTAGCTGAGAGGAGGGGTCCATTTAGATGGTTTGGGGGCTTAGAATTTTATTTTAGATTTACAGAAGCCAGAAAGTGGGAGAGAGAAACAGAGAGAGCCATCTGTGGCTGCTATTTAGAGGGTCCTGTGGCCTGGGGTTTTGGTAGGGAAAAAAAGAGCTTTGCCCTGGCATGGACATGTATATTTCCTTCTTGTTTTTAAAAAAAATACATAATAGTCTTTCTGATGCAACTTGAAAGCAAGAATTTTTTAAAAAATCTGCAAAATGATTGTTCTAAGTATGGTCAGAAAAAGATGAATTCTACAAGGAAGGTGGATGCTTCAATTCTCTTGAGGCTGCTGCTTCTCCTGCTAGATCTTGATCAATAATGTTACCTGATGGGCAAAGGTAGGGCCAGTGGAATATACACATACTTCTAGATATGATTTGAGGAGCAGGCACTTGAATGGCATCTCTGTCCCCAAATTGCATCTCTGTCACTTTCCATCTTGCCTGAAATTCCAATTCATGTAGATTAAGATGTTTTCTTTAGAATATCCACATTAAAATGCAATTGTGTCACATAAGAATTCATCTACAAATTAATTTGGCAAACAAAGAACAGAATCTGGAGATCAAGACATTGAACAAGAAAAAAATGGGGAAAGAGAGTGGAAAAAAGAGACAAAAGTAAAACCAGAGAGAGCAGCCCAGAAGATGTCCCCTCCTGGGGAATTGTGATGAAGACTTTCAGAACGCCAGGAGGATGTAGAAAATTATCCAAAGGGGGCATATAGGGAAATTTTACTAATAATTTGCTTTATTTCTGGACCAAGCATTTATAGATAGCTTGTTTTAAAATTTGGCATCAATTTATAAACATTATTTTATTTTGTAATTTCTAGGGATTAAAAATATCTACTATGGAAATAAAGATAGAGTAGACCTTAGAGATCCAGGAAGGACTATTGTATATAACTTTACAAACTGCAAGAGAAGGTGCCAAGATCTTTGTTAGCGTAACTTTAATTCCAGCTGGTCATAGAATGTTCCACGGCTTGGAAGTATTTCTGGGACAGATTCGGCATTCAAATAAAAGGAAATTTACAGATCAGATAATCACTAGGGGATATAGATGTTGGGAGGTTGGGAGTGATCAGGGAATGGGGATGATCAGTTTTTTTCTGAGATTTTAGACTGAAGTGCCCAGTAGCCAGTTTGGAAGCCCTCAGCCTCAGGTAGAACCATGAGTCAGCAAAACATATAAATAGTAGACCAGTTAGGAATCAGATGATGGCCATTTCCTAAGGAATGATAGATGCTTTAGTGTACTTTCAGATAACGCATTCTTTGGAGTTCACAAAGTGGTGAAATGTCAACTTAAGAAATTGTTTAAGTAAATATCCATAAGTACTTGAAAATCATTAACTTTTTTTTTTTTTTTTTTTTTTTTTAGACAAGGTCTCCCTCTGTTGCCCAGGCTAGAGTGCAGTGATGCAATCATGGCTCACTGCAACCTCTGCTTCCCGGGCTCAAGAGATCCTCCTGCCTCAGCTTCCTGAGTAGCTGGGACTACAGGCGTGTGCCACCACACCTGGCTAATTTTTGTATTTTTTGTAGCGATGGAGTCTCACTATGTTGCTCAGCCTGACCTAGAACGCTTGGGCTCAAGCAATCCACCCACCTTGGCCTCCCAAAGTGCTGGGATTACAGATGCGAGCCATCATGCCTGGCCACATTTTTTTAATGTAAAAATTACTACTCTTTTTTTTTGTTTTTAAATGGCATGTTTCTTTGACTTGGTCTGCTTATTGTCCGTTACCCTGATTAAAGGTGGCTATGCAGGTGGAACTGGGAACTGGGTACCCAGAGTTGGCAGCTCATGGATACCTCAGCATTTATCCTCTTCCTTTTGTCTTTGTCAGGAGGAAAAGACTTTTCCTCTACCCTTTTATGTTCAATAACAGGGGGCCTGTAAATTAAACCGACAAAAGACAGACAAACAAGAGGAAAAGGCTTGTTATTCATAGGCATATAGAACTAACAAAAGAAGTAGCTAGCCTGATAAATAATTTTAATAAGTTTATATACCTACCCCTTTAGGAAAAAGGGAGGCGGTAGAAAAGACTTCTATGGGAAGAACAAATAGATTTCTTTAGGAAAGAAAAATGGGTTTTAGGAGAACAAGTAGGAGATAAGAAAGTTTATGATCACGTTTGTTTATGCAGGAACTCTCAGTCTTTTTGTCTTCTTCATGGCCATGAAACTCCTCCAGAGAGGAGATTTATGGTACATGTACTCTCAGTTTTCTTCTTGGGAGTAGACTTGCTCTAAAGAAGGAGTATATGGAAGCCTCTTTTCCCACAAGTTGCTGCTTTTAGTCATGTGAGGGAAGCTCCTAAAAGTCTTCTTTCCATGTCTGTTAAATCTCAAATATCTTCAGCTTAAAATAATTTTCATACCAACTGTAGGGTTCCAAGTGGGTCCCCATATCCCTTTTATATCTTAGACTAATCCATAGCCACATTGACATTCCTCCGTGTCTTAAAATTTTTTAAATGTCTTTATGTCAGAAAACTTTCAGTTTTAATCATAGAAAACCCAACTCAAATATATTTTAAGTATGAGGGAGAATTTCTTGATTCACCTACCTGGAAAGTTCAAGAGTAGATGTTACCAAGCTCTCTTTCTTCAGCTATCAGCTTTGCTTTCTTCTATATTGGCTTTTTTCTCAAGCAAACTCCCTCTTATGGTGGGAAGGTGGGAAGGAAGCCCCTCTCCCAGTTGCTCTAGCAAATGTGTAGAATTAGCTCAGTGAGCTTAAGTGAATAATAGACCCATCAATGGACCAATTACTGTGGCCAGTGTGGTTCCAACTAGCTAAGCCCAGGTTATATGCCCACCCCTGGACCATGCTGTGGGCTCAACTTTTCTGAAGCTCACATATTGAAAGTAGGTGAAAGACGAGTTCTGAAAAATTTCACTTACCAGAAGAAGGTAAAATGGATTTTAGTGGCCAACACCAAGAGATGTTCTTTATCTTTTTTTGTTTTAATGTTTGGTGTATAGTTAAATAGTGTCCTTAGGATTTATGTAAAGTTAGTATTTATTGGATGTTGGAGATGCAATATGATTCAGGCTGTGCGAGGATATAGACCTGTCTGGGAGTTTCTCCACAGCTAATGGGTAGGTACAAGGGTCTCCCAAAAGAAAACAATGGATAAGACTCCACAAGATGAACAAAACTGAATTGAAGGAAAATAAGTTCCATACGTCTAATACACAGCATGGTGACTAGGTGACTACAGTTAAAAATACTGTTATTTTATACTTGAAGTTTGTTTAGGAGTAGATCTTAATTAAATGTTCTCACTACAAACAAAAAATATATGTGAAGTGATGAGCATGTTAATTAGCCTGATTGTGGTAGTCATTTCACAATTAGACACATATCAAAACATCGCGTGTACTGTAAATATATGTATATATATAATTTTTATTTGTTATACTTCAGTATAACTGGAAAAAAAAGATGTGTTCCCTGAACACCTACCCCCCCATCCAAAAAAAAAAAAAAACCCAAACTGAATTGAAGGAAATTATATTTGCAGTCTCTCCTGACAATAGTCTTCCTAATTATTATTGGGTGTGGTTTGAATGATGACAGTGTTACTGGAAAGGGGTCCGGATGCAGACCTCAGTAGAGGGTTCTTGGATTTCACGCAAGAAAGAATTCAGGGCAAGTTGATAGAGTAAAGTGAAAGCAAGTTTATTGGGAAAGCAAAGAAAGCAAAGGAATAAAAGAATAGCTACTCCATAGACAGAGCAGTCCCGAGAGCTGCTGGTTGCCTTTTTTTTTTTTTTTTTTTTGAGACGGAGTCTCACTCTGTCGCCCAGGCTGGAGTGCAGCGGCTCGATCTCGGCTCACTGCGAACTCTGCCTCTCGGGTTCACCCCATTCTTCTGCCTCAGCTTCCCGAGTAGCTGGGACTACAGGCACGTGCCACCAGGCCCGGCTAATTTTTTTTTTTTTTTTTTTTTTTTTTTTTTAGTAGAGACGGGGTTTCACCGTGTTAGTCAGGATGGTCTCAATCTCCTGACCTTGTGATCCACCCACCTCGGCCTCCCAAAGTGCTGGGATTATAGGCGTGAGCCGCTGCGTCCGGCCCTGGTTGCCCATTTTTATGGTTGTTTCTTGATGATATGCTAAACATGGTCCTAAATTGGGCCTCTAACCCAATCTCATCATTTACCCGGGTACCCCACCACTTACCCCAAATCGGCCAATCAGTGCTGCAGTCTATTTCCTTTGGGTGGGGGTGGGGGTGGGGGTTGGGGGTTTCCTTCAGTATCATCCCTAACATGGTTCGCCATAAAGACGTTACCAGACCCCCCCCCACTTATCCAAAGTGAGCCTTTGGGTCGGGGATTTCCGCACTATAGTCCCTTCAGTGGTTCACCAGAAAGAGGTTACTGGACCCCCCCACTCACCCAAGTTAGCCTTTCGGTCGGGGGTTTCCTTAGTATTGTTGCTTCATGTCCATACCGACCCATGGGGTCCGGCAACATCTTTCTGGCGACCAGGAAGCGACAATACTAAGGAAAACCCCGACCCAAAGGCTAACTTGGGTGAGTGGTGGGGTCTGGTAACAATAGGAGGGAGAAACTGAACTGGGCAGGAATTGTGAAAAGTACTGTGCCATGGACAGGGACATACTAGGTTGCTGCAAAAGTAATTGTGTGGGTTTTTTTCTCCCCATTCAAACTAATGGCAAAAACCGCAACTACTTTTGCACCAATCTAATACTTCATATAACCTTTATCAAAGTTGAGTCCTGGAGCTTGGTATCATGAAATCAATAAAGTTTCCTGAGTATCCATTAGTCAGACTAGGCTCCGACTTCCTCATGTTATCCTAGTAACCTCAGGGTGTTTATTAAGGAAGGTATCAGGAGAAGTAACATAATTAACAGGACCTTTCTATACTGTGTAAACTGGTTCTCAATAAGTGTGTGTGCTTTGTCTTGATCTGTCACTTTCTTAAGGAGATGGTATTATTCCCCTTAGCTTTCTGCACATGGAAGGTGATTGATGAGACAAATGGATTCCTATAATAGTAAAAAGACTCATTATCACACCTCTCTCCCATCACCGATTGACTATATTTCTGGACATCCCCCATTTTGGTTGAGTTATAGCCAATATCAATTGGGATGACTCATATTTTACTCTTAGTATTTACCAGTGACTTTTCCACCTGACATACTGCAATCATAGTTTGACTTAAACACAAAGGGCCATTCCAAATAACAGATGAATCCATAATGCATATTTGACTCCAGTTCAGGTCATTATAACTTTTTCATTTCTTTCTTTTTTTTATTATTATACTTTAAGTTCTAGGGTACATGTGCACAACGTGCAGGTTTGTTACATATGTATACATGTGCCATGTTGGTTTGCTGCACCCATTAACTCGTCATTTACATTGGGTATTTCTCCTAATGCTATCCCTCCCCCAGCCTCCCACCCCAGGACAGGCCCCAATGTGTGACATTCTCCTCCCTGTGTCCTAGTGTTCTCACTGTTCAATTCCCACCTATGAGTGAGAACATGTGGTGTTTGGTTTTCTGTCCTTGTGATAGTTTGCTCAGAATGATGGTTTCCAGCTTCATCCAAGTCCCTAAAAAGGACATGTACTCATCCTTTTTTATGGCTGCATAGTGTTCCATGGTGTATATGTGCCAAATTTTCTTAATCCAGTCTATCATTGATGGACATTTGGGTTGGTTCCAAGTGTTTGCTATTGTGAATAGTGCCACAATAAACATACATGTGCATGTGTCTTTATAGTAGCATGATTTATAATCCTTTCAGTATATACCCAGTAATGGGATGGCTGGGTCAAATGGTATTTCTAGTTCTAGATCCTTGAGGAATCGCCACACTGTCTTCCACAATGGTTGAACTAATTTACACTCCCACCAACAGTGTAAAAGCGTTCCTACTTCTCCACATCCTCTCCAGCATCTGTTGTTTCCTGACTTTTTAATGATCACCATTCTAACTGGCGTGAGTTGGTATGACATTGTGGTTTTGATTTGCATTTCTCTGATGACCAGTGATGATGAGCTTTTTTTCATATGTCTGTTGGCTGCATAAATGCCTTCTTTTGAAAAGTGTTTCTTCATATCCTTTGCCTACTTTTTGATAGGGCTGTTTGATTTTTTTCTTGTAAATTTGTTTAAGTTCTTTGTAGATTCTGGGTATTAGCCCTTTGTCAGATGGGTAGATTGCAAAAATTTTCTCCCATTCTATAGGTTGCCTGTTCAATCTGATGGTAGTTTCTTTTGCTGTGCAGTAGCTCTTTAGTTTAGTTAGATCCCATTTGTCTATTTTTTTTAAGTTAATAAAATACAATTTATTTCACACACTGGGGTTCCACAAAGATTTCTTACTACAAACAGGATTCTGCTCCTGAACAACCTATACAATTTGATAACCACAGATGTAGCATAAAGTTATTCATTTTTAAACTCTAAATTCAGTTGCTTATTGGGGTTTTCACCTTGGATCTTGTACAAATTCTAACTAGAGTAAGAGTTCCTGGATGTGTCAAAAATCGTCACCTTCCCAACTCTTACATATGTAGGACAGTGACATCACTCCTGCCCACACAAGAACACACCTGTCCTGCCCTCTCTCAACAATGGAATGTTACAAAGCAGGACACACCTGAGTTAAAATGAGTATCCCTGAGGTTGATAATTCCCACCATGCACCTTGAAGACGGTTCTTGAATCTTTCATTCAGCCCGATGAAGAGAAGATTCATTGTAGCCGGTGTCACAGTAGGTGAGAAAAATTCAGAAGGCAACAGATTTGCGCTGCTGCACCAGCGACCCAAACCAGCCCACGAGTGCATAGTTACTGCCAGCACTTGAGAAAAGTGAGCCATTGGATACTCTGGGAAATCCAGAAAGCACCTTCTACTGCAAGAGTGAAGAGCATGATGCCCACAGAAAACACAACAGAAACAAGAAGTGAGACTCTTGAGGGTAATTTCCAGAATAGTACAGCATACTGGAGGCTTCGAATGAGAAAAAGTTTCCAAAAACTTCATGTTTGCTCCAAATTTTGAACCAGAACCCCCACCACAATTGTGAGGAGCCCTTTGGTAAACTTAATGGAGGTCAAGTCTTAAAGATGGTGGGTCTGTGGGAATGTTCATGCCATAAGTCTTCTTCTCTGTGGATTTGAGGCTGCTGAGCTGGGGTGGGAAGGGGAAGCGGAAGTGATGTCAGTGTTTAAAAATTGTGCTCTTCTTCAAGAATGGCCTAAAGTGGAGTGTAGGTTTTGGCAGAGAGGGTTTTACTCATTAGCTGCACGTTTATCTGAAGTCTCTCCATCTCTCCATCTCTCCACAGAGGTAGTAGTAAAAGGATTCGCAGATGCATGTAAAACCTGGGTTAGTTGAGAAATGCAAGTGAAAAACTAGTCTTTTTAGCCACAAGTCCTGTGTGTGTTTCATCTGTTTGGTTTTGTTTAAGGACAATTACCCCAAAGGAAAATCTCTGGCATCTTCCATCACAGAGTCAGAAGGTCTTGTCTGTCAGAGGGTCTGTCTGTCATCAGTAGAGTCCACTCCAAGGGCGCCTGGGAATGGTGGGGTCTGGAGCAGGCCAGCTTTCTCCAGGAAGAGATGCATTGTACAGGGCTGGTTCCCCCAAGGGACTGCTCTGCCATGGCCATTAAGGACACAGCCCAACAAGTCACTGCATCTGGAAGTGATGCTGAGAAAGATGCATCTAGTGTCCCTAAGCCCTCCATTTTCCGTTTTTGGGAAAGGAATAGACACTTTTCCCCTTGCACAGTGGAATCCAGGTAGTCCACAGACACATTAGTGAGGAGGAGGGGATCTTTTTAAAAATTACAGAAAATCCAGAAATCCTAAGGAAAAGATTAACAGATATGACAACATGAAAGTTTAAAACCAGTATGGCACAAAAATATTAACATACTGAAAGACAAATGGGAAACTGCAGGGGGGCAGGGAATATTTGTACCATATGACAAAGCTTAAATCCCTACATACAAAGAACACTAAAGAAATTAAGAGCCCCAGCAAATAGATTTTTGAAAAGATAGCCCACTCCCCAACTATTTGAACTCCCTTGGCTGTCTTCCTAGCAAAGGAAGCCCACTGCATGAGGGGCGATAAGCAGAGAAGCCAGCCACCATCTTGCCATCACGTGGTCTTGACTGATGATTTCTTGTTGGCACACAGGAGGGACACATAGGGGACACCAATGAAGGCCCATTTCTCGCTGGGCCAGAATTTGATGACAGGGCCTTGCTCAGGAATCTCTGAGGCAGCATCAAAGTAGGCAAAGCATACACAGCCCAGGTAGGCAGCAAGGCAGATGAGGATGTGCCACATGCAGTGCAGGTAGGGGAAGTTGAAGGATGACAGCAGCTCGCAGAAAGCTCGGTCACTGATCCAGCAGAACAGGGCCAGGGTCCACCAGAGGCCCGAGAAGAGGCCCAGCTTAAACACACGCATGTTGTCACACCTCTTTAGCTCTGTGATGAGCAGTGCAGCGCAAGGAACTCCCAGGGTCATCAGAGAGATGTTGTTGATGGCAGGCTTGACAAATGCCAGGCACGTCATAACTGCAGACAGGACACAGACCACCACCTTGAACCTACCCTGGTCATTCCGAAAGATCTTTGGTAGATACCTTCTGGGGAACCACATGACCGAAGCACACATCAGAACCCAAAGGACTGCAAGTTCATCAAGCATCTGACCCAGGAAACTAAGGGTTGCATGGAAGTAGACGGATCCAATTCCCGCTACAACCAAGAGTCCAGATTAAGTAGATGCCGCTGTTGAAGCATGTTGCATACTGACGAAACAAGCACATGCAGATGGGCGGTAAAATGAAAAATAAGACATTGCTGATCATGTTATAGAACTCGGCGACAGCAGGCACGATGGTGTAGTTGTCCTCGCGCCAGTCCACCTCCGAGCTGCCAGCCTGCAGCTGGTCCCACCAGTGCGGGGCGCCCATGGCCACTCTGGGGCATTGGAGCAGCTGCTCCTGCAGCTGAGAAGAGCCCAGAGCTGCTGCGGAGGCAAGACGCCGCGACAGCCAGCGGCGAGAGCGGCTTTATGAAGTACCGGGTAACCGCCGGATGGGCGCCTCTCAACCGGCCTCCCGCGCTCCGCCCCACCTCCCCCCCATTTGTCTATTTTGGCTTTTGTTGCCATTGCTTTTGGTGTTTTAGTCATGAAGTCCTTGCCCATGCCTATGTCCTGAATGGTATTGCCTAGGTTTTCTTCTAGGGTTTTTATGGTTTCAGGTCTAACATTTAAGTCTTTAATCCATCTTGAATTAATTTTTTTATTAGGTTTAAGGAAGGGATCCAGTTTCAGCCTTCTACATATGGCTAGCCAGTTTTCCCAGCACTACTTATTAAATAGGGAATTGCTTGTGTGTGTCAGGTTTGTGAAAGATCAGATGGTTGTAGATGTGTGGTGTTATTTCTGAGGCCTCTGTTCTGTTCCATTGGTCTACATCTCTGTTTTGGTACCAGTACCATGCTGTTTTGGTTATTGTTGCCTTGTAGTATAGTTTGAAGTCAGGTAGCATGATACCTCCAGCTTTGTTCTTTTTGCTTAGCATTGTCTCTCCAATGTGGGCTCTTTTTTAGTTCCATATGAACTTTAAAGTAGTTTTTTCCAATTCTGTGAAGAAAGTCTTTGGTAGCTTGATGGGGTGGCATTGAATCTATAAATTACCTTGGGCAGTATGGCCATTTTCATGATATTGACTCTTCCTATCCGTGAGCATGGAATGTTCTTCCATTTGTTTGTGTCCTCTTTTATTTCATTGAGCAGTGGTTTGTAGTTCTCCTTGAAGAGGTCCTTCACATCCCTTGTAAGTTGGATTCCTAGGTATTTTATTCTCTTTGAAGCAATTGTGAATGGGAGTTCACTCATGATTTGGCTCTCTGTCTGTCTGTTATTGGTGTATAAGAATGCTTGTGATTTTTGCACATTGATTTTGTATCCTGAGACTTTGCTGAAGTTGCTTATCAGCTTAAGGAGATTTTGGGCTGAGACGATGGGGTTTTCTAAATATACAATCATGTCATCTGCAAACAGGAACAATTTGACTTCCTCTTTTCCTAATTCAATACCCTTTATTTATTTCTCTTGCCTGATTGCCCTGGCCAGAACTTCCAACTCTATGTTGAATAGGAGTGGTGAGAGAGGGCATCCTTGTCTTGTGCTGGTTTTCAAAGGGAATGCTTCCAGTTTTTGCCCATTCAGTATGATATTGGCTGTGGGTTTGTCATAAATAGCTCTTATTATTTTGAGATACACTCCATCAATACCTAGTTTATTGAGAGTTTTTAGCATGAAAGGCTGTTGAATTTTGTTGAAGACTTTTTCTGCATCTATTGAGATAAACATGTGGTTTCTGTCATTGGTTCTGTTTATGTGAAGGATTAACATTTATTGATTTGTGTATGTTGAACCAGACTTGCATCCCAGGGATGAAGCCAACTTGATCATGGTGGATAAGCTTTCTGATGTGCTGCTGAATTCGGTTTGCCAGTATTTTATTGAGGATTTTTGCATTGATCTTCATCAGGGATATTGGTCTAAAATTCTCTTTTTTTTGTTGTGTCTCTTCCAGACTTTGGTATCAGGATGATGCTGGCCTCATAAAATGAGTTAGGGAAGATTCCCTCTTTTTCTTTTCATTGGAATAGTTTCAGAAGGAATGGTACCAGCTTCTCTTTGTACCTCTGGTAGAATTAGGCTGTGAATCCGTCTGGTCTTGGACTTTTTTTGGTTGGCAGGCTATTAATTATTGGCTCAATTTCAGAGCCTGTTATTGGTCTATTCAGAAATTCCACTTCATCCTGCTTTAGTCTTGGGAGAGTGTATGTGTCCAGGAATTCATCCATTTCTTCTAGATTTTCTAGTTTATTTGCTTAGAGGTGTTTATAGTATTCTCTGATGGTAGTTTGTATTTCCATGGGATTGGTGGTGATATCCCCTTTATAATTTTTTATCGTGTCTATTTGATTCTTCCCTCTTTTCTTCTTCATTAGTCTTGCTAGCGGTCTATCAGTTCTGTTTATCTTTGCAAAAAACCAGCTCCTGGATTCATTGATTTTTTGAAGGTTTTTTTGTGTCTCTATCTCCTTCAGTTCTGCTCTGATCTTAGTTATTTCTTGCCTTCTGCTGGCTTTTGAATTTGTTTGCTCTTGCTTCTCTGGTTCTTTTAATTGTGGTGCTAGGGTATTGATTTTAGATCTTTCCTGCTTTCTCTTGTGGGCATTTAGTGCTATAAATTTCCCTGTACACACTGCTTTAAATGTGTCCCAGAGATTCTGGTACGTTGTGTCTTTTTTCTCATTGGTTTCAAAGAACATCTTTATTTCTGCCTTCATTTCGGTATTTACCCAGTAGTCATTCAGGAGCAGGTTATTCAGTTTCCATGTAGTTGAGCTGTTTTGAGTGAGTTTCTTAATCCTGAGTTCGAATTTGATTGCACTGTGGTCTGAGAGATAGTTTGTTGTGATTTCTATTTTCCATTTGCTGAGGAGTGCTTTACTTCCAACTATGTGGTCAATTTTGGAATAAGTGCAATGTGGTGCTGAGAAGAATGTATATTCTGTTGATTTGGGGTGAAGAGTTCTGTAGATGTCTATTAGGTCCACTTGGTGCAGAGCTGAGTTCAAGTCCTGGGTATCCTTGTTAACCTTCTGTCTCATTGATCTGTCCAATATTGACAGTGGGGTGTTAAAGTCTCCCATTATTATTGTGTGGGAGTCTAAGTCTCTTTGTAGGTCTCCAAGGACTTGCTTTATGAATCTGGGTGCTCCTGTATTGGGTGCATATGTATTTAGGATAGTTAGCTCTTCTTGTTGAATTGATCCCTTTACCATTATGTAATGGCCTTCTTTGTCTCTTTTGATCTTTGTTGGTTTAAAGTCTGTTTCATCAGAGACTAGGATTGCTACCCCTGCTTTTTTTTGTTCTCCATTTGCTTGGTAGATCTTCCTCTATCCCTTTATTTTCAGCCTATGTGTGTCTTTGAGCATGAGATGTGTCTCCTGAATACAGCACACTGATGGGTCTTGACTCTTTATCCAATTTGCCAGTCTGTGTCTTTTAATTGGAGCATTTAGCCCATTTATTTTTAAGGTAAATATTGTTATGTGTGAATTTGATCCTGTCATTATGATGTTAGCTTGTTATTTTGCCCATTAATTGATGTGGTTTCTTCCTAGTATCGATGGTCTTTACAATTTGGCATGTTTTTGCAGTGGCTGGTACAGTTGTTCCTTTCCATGTTTAGTGCTTCCTTCAGGAGCTCTTGTAAGACAGGCCTGGTGGTGACAAAATCTCTCAGCATTTGCTTGTCTGTAAAGGATTTTATTTCTCCTTCACTTACGAAGCTTAGTTTGGCTGGATATGAAATTCTGGGTTAAAAATTCTTTTCTTTAAGAATGTTGAATATTGACCCCACTCTCTTCTGGCTTGTAGAGTTTCTGCCAAGAGATCCACTGTTAGTCTGATGGGCTTCCCTTTGTGGGTAACCTGACCTTTCTCTCTGGCTTCTCTTAACATTTTTTCCTTCATTTCAACCTTGGTGAATCTGACAATTATGTGTCTTGGGGTTGTTCTTCTTGGGGAGTATCTTTGTGGTGTTCTATGTATTTCCTGAATTTGAATATTGGCCTGCATTGCTAGGTTGGGAAAGTTCTCCTGGATAATATCCTGAAGAGTGTTTTCCAACTTGGTTTCATTCTCGTCACTTTCAGGTACATCAATCAAACGTAGATTTGGTCTTTTTACATAGTCGTATATTTCTTGGAGGCTTTGTTCATTTCTTTTTACTCTTTTTTCTCTAAACTTCTTGCTTTATTTCATTAATTTCATCTTCAATCACTGATACCCTTTCTTCCACTTGATTGAATCAGGTATTGAAGCTTGGGCATGTGTCATGTAGTTCTTGTGCCATGGTTTTCAGCTCTATCAGGTCATTTAAAGTCTTCTCTACACTGTTTATTCTAGTTAGCCAATTGTCTAATCTTTTTTCAAGGTTTTTAGCTTCCTTGCGATGGGTTCAAGCATCCTCCTTTAGCTTGGAGAAGTTTGTTATTACCAACCTTCTGAAGCCTACTTCTGTCAACTTGTCAAAGTCATTCTCCATCCAGCTTTGTTCCGTTGCTTGCGAGGAGCTGCGATCCTTTGAAGGAGAAGAGGTGCTCTGGTTTTTAGAATTTTCAGCTTTTCTGTTCTGGTTTCTCCCATCTTTGTGGTTTTATCTACCTTTGGTCTTTGATGTTGGTGCCCTACAGATGGGGTTTTGGTGTGGATGTCCTTTTTGTTGATGTTGATGCTATCCCTTTCTGTTTGTTATTTTTCCTTCTAACAGTCAGGTCCGTTGGCTGCAGGTCTGTTGGAGTTTGCTGGAGATTCATTTCAGACACTGTGTGCCTGGGTATCACCAGTGGAGGCTGTAGAACAGCAAATATTGCGGAACAGCAAATATTGCTGCCTGATCCTTCCTCTGGAAGCTTTGTCACAGAGGGGCACACGGCAGTATGAGGTGTCAGTCAGCCCCTACTGGGAGGTGTCTCCCAGTTAGGCTACATGGGGGTCAGGGACCCACTTGAGGAGGCAGTCTGTCTGTTCTCAGAGCTCAAACACCATGCTGGGAGAACCACTGCTCTCTTCAGAGCTGTCAGACAGGGATGTTTAAGTCTGCAGATGTTTCTCTGCCTTTTGTTCAGCTATGCCTTGCCCCCAGAGATGGAGCCTATAGAGGCAGCAAGCCTTGCTGCGCTGCAGTGGGCTCTGCCCAGTTCGAGCTTCCCAGCCACTTTGTTTACCTACTCAAGCCTCAGCAATGGCGGACGCCCCTCCCCCTGCTGGGCTGCTGCCTCGCAGGCTGATCTCAGACTGCTGTGCTAGCAGTGAGCAAGGCTTTGTGGGCATGGGACCCACTGAACCAGGGGCAGGATATAATCTCCTGGTGTGCCGTTTTCTAAGATGGTTGGAAAAGTGCAGTATTTGAGTGGGAGTGTGCCGTTTTTCCAGGTACAGTTTGTCACGACTTCCCTTGGCTAGGAAAGGGAAATCCCCTGATCCTTCATGCTTCCTGGGTGAGGTGACACCCCGCCCTGCTTCGGCTTGCCCTCTGTGGGCTGCACCCACTGTCCAACCAGAACCAATGAGATGAACCAGGGACCTCAGTTGAAAATGCAGAAATCACCCGTCTTCTGCATTGATCACACTGGGAGCTGCAGACTGAAGCTGTTCCTATTCGGCCATCTTGAAACGGCTCTCTCTTTTTTTTTGAAACAGAGTCTCACTCTGTTGCCCAGGCTGGAGTGCAGTGGCATCATCTTGGCTCACTGCAATCTCTGCTTCCTGGGTTCAAGCAATTCTCCTGCCTCAGCCTGCCAAGTAGCTGGGATTACAGGCCTGCACCACAATGCCTGGCTATTTTTTTTTTTTTTTTTTTTTTGTATTTTTTAGTAGAGATGAAGTTTTGCCATGTTTGCCAGGCTGGTCTCAAACTCCTGACCTCAAGTGATCTGCCCACCTCGGCCTCCCAAAGTGCTGGGACTACAGGTGTGAGCCACCACCCCAAGCCACTTTTTTATTTATTTCTGATTGCCATAATATTTCTAAGCCAATACTGATTGAGACCTACTCTGTACCAGGCATGGTCCTGGGAACTACAGATAGAAAGATGATTAAGAATATGGTATTTGCTCTCTGTGATAAGTTCAATAAAGGATTCACATATGTAACCCAAATGTCCCCAACAAGCTTCTGGCTCCTGGATGAGATGACTTCAACTGTTTTTCCCTATATGTGTGTCAATTAATAGCATCGCTCACCTTACCTTCTCACCTTACCTCAATCTTTCTTCTCTCTGTGAATCTACAAAAATGGGAGTTTGTTTCTCATGTAGTTTATGTCAACATCCTATGTCTGCCAGCCTTCTGTTTTGGCAGCTTCCCTCATTGTCCCTCATTAATTATTAATAACGATTTGTCCACATTGTCCACATTGATGGTGCCTAACCTCTCTATTGGTGTACTTGGAGTGTGTACCCAGGGGAACTAACCTGTTTCCCACCTTTGGTGTTCACTCCTTTCTCTGGCTTGTTGGTTACATTTTTTTTTGCTCCACTCTTCGGTAGGGATTGGGACAAGGGATGAGAGTGAGGTGGAAGAGAAAAAAGGTATCTTTCTGGCAGAATTGCTTAGGCTCATAATGATAAGGTTTTTTTATATAACTTTTTTCTGATAATCTTGCTTTTGCTTTTTAGCCCCATATTATATAGGGAACCGGGTGGTTGGATGAGGGTGGCTTGAGTTGAGCCTCATTTGAACTCAGAACAAATGTTTCCATCTATTAAACACTTATCCTCAGACCTGGCTCACTGTGGCAGACTCCTCTCTGGAGTCTGGCTTATGGTGGCCCTCTTCCCAAGCCCACTGGACATGCCTATATATTTCTGAAACTTGGTTGTACATAGGTTCAAACTCATTGCCATGGAGTCCTCAGGAGTCATGCAAATAAGTATGTTTTGATCATCTTTGCTGTTAACAAGTATCTCTAAAACCTAGTGGCTTAAAATAACCATCGTTTTATTATCTCTCATAGTTTCATGGGTTGACTCAGGTGGGCAGTTCTGCTCGTTTCACTTGGAATTTCTCATATGGTTGCCGTCAGTTGGTGACTGTGGTTAGAGTCATCTGGACTTTACTGCAATCAATGTGCCTGTTCATTCTCTAAGTAGACTCAAGACCTCTTCTGTTCTTTTTTTTTCTTTTTTAATTATACTCAAAGTTTTAGGGTACATGTGCACAACATGCAGGTTAGTTACATATATATACATGTGCCATGTTGGTGTGCTGCACCCAGTAACTCGTCATTTAACATTAGGTATATCTCCAAATGCTATCCCTCCCCCCTCCCCCAACCCCACAGCAGGCCCCATTGTGATGTCCCGCTTCCTGTGTCCATGTGTTCTCATTGTTCAATTCCCACCTATGAGTGAGAACATGTGGTGTTTGGTTTTTTGTCCTTGTGATATCTTGCTGAGAATGATAGTTTCCAGCTTCATCCATGTCCCTACAAAGACGTGAACTCATCCTTTTTTATGGCTGCATAGTATTCCATGGTGTATATGTGCCACATTTTCTTAATCCAGTCTATCATTGGTGGACATTTGAGTTGGAAGACCTCTTCTGTTCTTATGGCCACTCCATGTGGCCTCTGTCACGGGACTTTTTACGTGGCAGCTTAGGGTTTCCCAAAGCCAGCATTCCAAGATGGAGGAAAAAAAAATCAGTCCATCCTTTTAAAGGCTAGGCTTAGAAATAGTGTAGCATCACTTTTGCTGAATTCTACTGGTTAACTCAAGTCACAGGCCAGCCCAGATTCAATGTGGGAGGGTTTTATGCAAGGATATGAATACTGAGTGTCATGGTACAATGGATGGCCATCCTTAGAGACTAGCCACCACAGTCCACCCTCTGTTTCTCAATAATGTATGTCCTTCCTTCATGCAAAATACATTTTTCTCCCTTCCAAGACCATTGAAGTCTACTCATACCATGGCATCAGGTTTGGGCTTTAAATCCAGGATCATGTCATCTGAATCATATCTAGGTGAGCTTAAGGTTTCTTGGGTTCAGCTATCGTCAACCTGAAGACTGATGAAGTAAAAAGACAAATAATCCGCTTCCCACCCAAAACACAAATACAATGGCTAGGCAGTGATGAAAAACTGAAATAGAAATCCCATTCATGAAAGGGAAAACAGGAAGCATAGAGCAGTCACTGGTTCATAGCAATTCTGAAATTAAGTTGAGAAAATTTTGCCAATTCTTTGACCAAAATTCATTTCTACTCCCTAGAGTGGTCCTCTGTGGCTCTTGGTTCCACCATTTAGGCTTTGTTTTCACCCTCTGAGTCATCTTTCCTTTTGCATAAGAAATGGCCTGTATTTACAGCTGAGTAGCTTCCTCAGCTTTCTTTCTATCAATATAAACCTATGGCCCAGCGACTTCTTTTCATTTTTTTTAAAGACATTTATTCAGCATCACGATCAGACTATTACATTTAGCAATCAATAGCATGGGTGCAAAAAAAAATCTACATTTCAAAATCCTTTGTTGGAATGCTTTACACTTTCCACAGAACAGAAACTAAAATAACCTGTTATACAATTAGTCACAAATACAGTCCTCGAGCTTTTTGCCCATACACATGAGTACTTGTCTAAAACATGTCTTCTTTGTAGCAGCTAGGCCATGCCACCACTGTGTTTTGCTGGGTTCACAAATCTGTTGTAACTTGTAGCTTCCCTGTCACTTCTCTGGCTCTCCTATCCTGCTAAGCTTCTGCCACTGCCATAGCTACTGCTGCTACTGGAACAGCCATAGCCACCTTGGTTTCATGGTTTGGCTAAGTATTGGTCTCCACCACCATAGGGGCCAGAGGTTCTGCCTCCAATCCTCCCTTCATGGGTCCAAAATTTGAAGACTGTTGTAATTGCCAAAGTCATTGTAGCTTCCACCACTTCCAAAATTGCTTCCATCATTACCAAATCCATTATAGCCATCCCCACTGCCACCATATCCACCACCACCATGGCTGCCACCAAAGCCACCACGACCACTGAAGTTTCCTCCATGACCAAAGTTGTCATTCCCACCAAAACCACCTCCACGACCACGACCAAAGTTTCCAGAACAACTTCGACCTCTTTGGCTGGACGAAGCATTAGCCATCTCTTGCTTTCACAGGGCTTTCCTAACTTCACAGTTGTGGCCATTCACAGTGTGGTATTTCTGAATGACAATCTTATCCACAGAGTCATGGTTGTCAAAGATTACAAAGGCAAAGCCCCTTTTGTTGCCACTGACTCTGTCAGTCATGATTTCAGTCACTTCAATTTTTCTACACTGCTCAAAATAATCTCTTAGGTGATGTTCTTCAGTGTCTTCTTTAATGCCACCAACAAATATCTTTTTCACAGTTAAGTGGGCACCTGGTCTCTGAGAATCTTCTCTTGAGACAGCTCTCTTTGGTTCCATGACTCTTCCATCCACCTTGTGTGGCCTGGCATTCATGGCTGCATCCCCCTCCTCCACAGTGTCATATATGACAAAACCAAAGCCCGTGGAGCACTTGGTGTTTGGATCTCTCATTACCACACAGTCTGTGAGTGTTCCCCCATTGCTCAAAATGGCTCCTCAGGCTCTCATCGGTTGTTTCAAAGCTCAACCCTCCAATGAAGAGTTTCCTCAGCTGTTCGGGCTCTTTAGGAGACTCTGACTTAGACATGACAGCAGGAAGAAGAGAGACTTTAACTATGCTTCTTTGGCGGCGTCCACGGGGGGAAAGGAGCAAGCTGATGAACATATATCAGACTTCTTTTCATTTTAAACTATGTTTGCATCTTTTAGTCCAAGCTGATGGTACAGTTCTCTTGAACTGTGCCAGTGTCCTATCAACCTTACAGGGTCACTCGATTAGACAGAAGCCACATACACAATTGTTTTTGAGACAGACCCCCTCTACCTTGGCCTGTGAATCAGGGTGCTGTGGGACAATGTCTTAATATTCTTAGAAGCTCTATTGTCTGGGTGAGAGTGTTTATAAGACATACCATTTAAGGTTCTTAGAAGTCTTTCTGTGTAGATAAAAGGGTCTATGAGGAATATCCTCAACACTTCCTAAGGTCTCAACAAATTGGCTACCTCACTGATGCAAAATTACTCCTGGGATCATGTTTTGCCAGAAGAGTCCTGGATTTGATCTTTGCTGTGAGGTCATCTCTTCCAGGATCTTTTGCTGCCTGGAGGAGCTAGAAAAGAGAAAGTTTTATTTTTGAATCCAGAAAGTCCTAAATTCTGTATATTTTCTCCTAATTTTGGTTAAAAACTGAAGAATTACTTTTTTAGTTCATGTTTCTCCTCCTGTATGTTAACACAGGCAGCCAAAAGAAGCCAGTTGGTGCTTTTGATACAGTCGTATGTGTGGGGAATTGGTTCCAGGAACACTGCAGATACCAGAATGCGAGGATGCTCAAGTCCCTTATATAAAATGGTAGAGTATTTGCATATAAACTATGCACATCCTTCCGTATACTTTAAAACATCTCTAGATTACTTATAATATCAGATACAATGTAAATGCTATGTAAATAGTGGTACTACATTTTAAAAATGGGTATTATTTTTATTGCTGTACTATTATTATTTATTTGAGTATTTTCCACCCATGGTTGGTTGAGCCAATGGATGAGGAACCCGTGGAGGCAGAACCCATGGATACAGAGAAGCTGACTGCATTCTGACTGAAAATCTCCTAGCCAGAGCTATCTGTTTACGACATATTCTTCCTGTCTTCCATGCTACAGGGGATAGTTTTGCTAATTGGTCTGCACATAATTCAGGTCACGTTTTCTCCAGTTTCCAATAGCAATTTCTTCGGTGTCCTTCGAGTCTTCACTATTCACCTCCTTAAGGAGCTTTCCAGCTTCTGCCTGCCACT